>NC_000006.12:104767759-104919274 GCF_000001405.40 Homo sapiens
CTCTGTGCCTTCCTGTAAGCCCAGAACATTTCCTTCTTCCCATCCTTACTCCTACTCGACCACTTAATGCTTCACCTCTATAATTCAACTTCCATACCACTTCATCCATTCCCTGATACCTGCCCCATCTTACTCTTATCTTCTTTTTTTTCTCCAAGCCTGGATGAACTTTATGACTAATATTATAAAAGTGATGCTAACATTTAAACCCCTACAGCTTCAATTCTAAATGCTAGAACTGAAAATATGAGCAAAAGAGGCCATATCTAACTAATTTAAGAGTATTATATTTCAAATGTGGAACTAATATATATACATCTGCCTATATTGCTTGTATTTATTTAACATATTGCTTTTTAAATTAAAGGTATTTTCATCTATTTGGTTTCACTTTATAATCACCAAAGCCTTTTAATAAAACTTGGGAATAAGGGACTCCCCCATGTGGAGATCAGTTTACAAAGGCCCTCTAACAAGTTTAGCAAGTCATTTAAGTTTCAATAGTTCAAAATTATAAAGTCGAACTCTAAACATGACAAAAAAACTTTCTACCTATAAAGTAAAAAGCTGACTCTAAAGTAACAGAAAAGTTCATAACAGAATGTATAAGCAAAAAAAAAGAACAAACCAAAAATCAATAGTATTTCCAAGAAACAGGGTTTGAAAATTTTAAAGTAACATTTTGTAAACTGAATATCTTAACAATTTTAAGCAAGGTAAAATGTGATGTGTTTCTAAAGATTTTTAAGAGTTTTATATGAATCAGGTTATTTATTAAATAAGCATTATATGTTGAAACCTCAACAATTTGATACACAATTACTATACTGGTAACATTAGAAAAAAAAGGCTCAATTTATTGTGAGAAATGTTTATATAAAAAAAATGAAAGCTGAGAATGTATAACATTAATAATCAAGACCCTGCTATTAACACTCCTAATTACTTAAAAAAGTTAGCCTCTAATCAACCAAGCAATTAAACAAAATGTAAATATATATAGTATTAAACTGAGAAACAAAAGTTTCAAGCTCTTTAATATTAAAATAGTATTCCCACCTCTGGTGAGATGCACAATGAAGGGTATATCCTCAATGTGAGCATATTCTTACTTATTCTTATTTATTCAATATTTTCCATCTTTCTAGATTTCATTAAAATACACAAATACAAAAAAATTAATAATATTTTAAAAATCTAAACAAAAATCATGTCATAGTAAGGGGGGGTGCTGCTAGGAGATGCAAGCATAAATATAGATATACCTCATACACATTTTTTTTTCTTTTTTAAGTGATAGGATCTTGCTCTGTCACTCAGGCTAGAGGGCAGTAATGTCATCTTGGCTCACTGTAGCCTCAACCTCCAGAGCTCAAGTGATCCTCCCACCTCAGCCTCCAGAATAGCTAGGACTGTAGCCACACAAAACTAGGCCTGGCTAATTTTTTTATTTTTTATAGAGATGAGGTCTCACTATGTTGCCCAGGCTTGTCTCGAACTCCTGGCCTCAAGCAATCCCCCTGCCTTAGTCTCCCAAAGCACTGGAATACAATTGTTACTAGATCTTTCCACTTTGTCATATATATCTGAAAGGAGTGACAAACCTCACCAGATATAGTATTCACAGATAAGAATCATGTTTATGGTTCTCTTATCAAAGGCAATCATTGCTTAATAAAGATTCTATGACTTCATTACCCTTAATTGAGGGTAGGCCTCCAGTGTAAAATAAAATAATAAACATGCTACAAGGTGAACAATCTAAAAAAAGATTCTAAAAATATTTTCACTCACTGGCAAATCATATAGGTTTAAAAATTAAGTGTTTAACTATTATAATCTTCTAGAGCTTAACATGACTTACATTAAAAATCAAGTAAGTTCTTCCTCGACACAATTAATTTTGCATATAGTATGAAGAACATTAGACTTGAAATTAGGAGGCTTGGGTTTTGGCCCCAGTTTTGCCATTAACTCTTTAGGATTAGTGTCATTTCATGTAAAATGAGAGGGTAGAATTTAAAATTTCTAAGTATGAATATGTAAGAACTCAACTCCTGACTTTATTTCCAAGAATTCAATCTCTTTTTTTTGTACACTATAGTATCTTAAGTTTCAAAAGGTAAAATTATGTCGCTTGCTAATAAGTTTCCAATTCCCTTTATATATCTGAAACTAAGAACCTATTTTTATAGAAAACTACCCAATACAACTAACTTTTGTGCTGTGCTTTTCATTTTACAAAATGCTAATAACAATTCTGTATGGGAGGTATTATTATTCCAATTCTACAGAAAACTGAGTTCGAAGAATTGTTAAACATAACCCTTTTTAAAATAATCCACATTTTACTAAATCTATAGTTTAAAAAATGGCTCAGTGAACATTGTTTCTTATAGTTAAATTGATTCTGAAGATGTCTTGGAATTATAATTCAGCTAAACAAAAAGGGAGGGGGGCAGTTTAGTATTGTTCAACCAGAAGCTGCTACTTGTAAGCAACAGAACTAGAATTCATATGATATTTTCTAACTCCAAATACCTCATATAACATATTAAAACACCAAGCCATATTAAATCTTAAAGTCATATTATGACTTTGAACAGTGAAATTTAAAACATATGCAAAGATTTTTAAATAATACATATAGAGGAGAGGTAATAATAAATAAAAATAAGGCCGAGAGTGGTGGCTCATACCTGTAATCCCAGCACTTTGGGAGGCCGAGGCAGACAGATCACCTGAGGTCAGGAGTTTGAGACCATCCTGGCCAACATGGTGAAACCCCGTCTCTACTAAAAATACAAAAATTATCTGGGCATGGTGGCGCACCCCTGTAATCCCAGCTACTGAGGAGGCCAAGGCAGGAGAATTGCTCGAACCCAGGAGGCAGAGGTTGCAGTGAGCCGAGATCATACCACTGCGCTCCAGCCTGGGTGACAGAGTGAGACTTCGTCTCAATAAATAAATAAATAAATAATCAAGTTATACAGTCAAAAAAATATCAAAAGGTCGAACAAACTTACTGGATCCCAAAAGTATGTGGAAAGCTTAAACACTGGCATTTCTTTTCTCTATTAGAATTCTTTAATATTACACTTTAAAAACATGAAAGAGCAATTTTTGCAAATATCTTCATTTAAGCTTATATTTCTAATCAAATTTCTCAAAATGCATATGCCCAATTTATACTATCAGCTGAAGTGCTCTCGATTTTTTAGGAACCAACTCAGCACAGCTAGCACAATTATCAAAATAATCCTTTCTAATTCAAAATTTAACATTTGATTGTTTTATTAACTTAAACGTTTTATCTGCTATGATACTGTAATAGTAAAAGTTTTTCTACAAGTGCCAGAAGAATTTAGAGTAACTAGCAAACTATCAGGGCCAAGTTACAAACAATGGTTAAGGTAAAAACTGAAATACTCACTTTATTATTTTGTGTCACAAGAATACTCCCACCCCCAGGTTTCAAAGGCACCTCTTCCATTGCTCCAAACACATCAGTCTCAACAGAAAAAGTTAGTTCTAGACCCAGATCACTTATATCATTATCTAAAATCCATTGCAAATTTTTCGCATATTCTGGATCAATGGATGCCACATCTTGGTAATTTACAGGAATACCTAAAAAATGCAAACATACAGCAGTTATAGTCTGGTTTTGCCTTCCCTTATCTATTTAATGGTAAAATACTGCCCTCTACAGATATTCTGAAAAACTGCAAAATATAATACAATCCTACACACAGCATATTTTAAATGGATTCCTGAATTTGAAAGTCTGTTAAATTAATTCTGTGTTTCTTTCACATTGTTACAATGTAATCTTTCTTTGAAATAACTATTCAGGAAGTTATTATAAACTTCAAAAATGCCAATTATCTTAAGTATACTCACACTGAAATGTATTCTTAGCATAAAAATACACACACAAAAATTGAAAAAAAAAAAAAAAGGCTAACTTAACTAGAGGTGTTTGGAAAAAAAAAAGGTAGGTCATTTTTTTCTCCTTCAAACCCCGAATGGCTTACATATACAGATGGGCTCCAATCAAAATAAAAATTATCTCATCCAAAATACTACTGCTTATCTAGTTTTCCTCAAACTGAAAAAAAAACAATATAAATAAATGTCTGCAGAAATAATAATAGAGCCATACCAAGAATGTGCTTGTAGAAGGATCGTGTGAAGTAAATATTGACCAGCTGCCTGTGGTTCAACGCTAATCCCAAGATCTGCCCAGCAAACCGAAAATAGTTCAAGTGATCAGGATTTACATAAGAGTTGCTATTAGGCTGAAAAGTTGTTCCTATTGAAATAAATACAAAATAATATATTATTAAGAATCTATATGCAGAAGAAAGATTACTTCGATGCAGATAAACTAATTCACATACAACTTCAGCAAAGCTAAGGTTACATTATGTATAAACTTCCAGAGAAATGTTCTTTGTGGAAAATATAACAAGTGGTAAGTAGAATTGGAAGTATAGATGATAATCATTTATTCATACATATTTGTCACAGTAATCTATGGCAGAGAGAAAATTTTAGAGTACTTTTGACTGAAATTAGTTGGAAGATCATCAGAGACACTCTGGAAATAATACAGCAGAGGATCATATACACATACACATACACACACACACACGCACATATACACAGTTTCCTAGGCAGTATGGCAATAGGCTGTTCGCTAGGACAGACATTATCCCATTCATCTGTATGTGCCAGTGCAGTAAGTATTTGCTAGTTTTTGCTGCTTCAGGAGTAGAACACTATGAGAATAACTAAAAACTGTAAATGTACAACTGCTCTTAAGTGACAGGCCTAGTCAATGAACTTGATGCCTGTTAACAATGATTAGAAAATCACCTCAGTCCACAAGGTAACCAAGTCTTTCTAATGGCAAACAATTAAGTTTAAACAATTACCTCTGAGGTGAAAGTAAAAATGGCAAGGGCAATAAGTTACCAATTACTATGAAAATCCAGTGCAATGGAATATGAATCCACTTTTATAAAATATCTAGAATAGGCAAATTTATAGATAGGTAAAGTAGATTAGTAGTTACCTAAGGCTGAGGAAAGGGGATATGGGAGATATTGCTTAACGGGTACAGAATTTCTGCTTGGGGTGATGAAAAAGCTCTGAAAATAGATAGTGGCCGATGGTTGCACAACACTGTGAATGTACTTAAATGCCACTGAATTGTACACTTTCAATAATATAAATGGTAAATTTATATGTGTATTTCACCACCGTAAAAAAAAAGTCTCAAAAAAAAAATACTACTAGTTAAAAGTTAAAACCTAATGCCAAAACCTCAACTTTAAATAACTTTCTTTTCCTATTTTTCCTATTTTTCTGTGATGGTCACTAATTCATATTACAAATTTACTCATCCATTCAACAAACACATAATGAGCTCATGCTATATACTACTATTGTAAATGCCTGGGCTAAAAGAAACAACGGATAAACCTAATGAAATAGCATCAAAGAAAAACAAAAGGTAGAAATGTATTGGAAAGTGAAATCTTTAGTCATTTTGACAATAATTCACTCTGTGTTTCACTGGTCTTTGATTTCTCGGTGCTGACACCAGGTTAACCTGCTGACTAGTTTATTTAGATATAAGGTATAAATTTGCAAGCCTATGGGAATAACCTAAATAAGTCATGTGAGTCTCATCATTCACTGTTAAGGACCTTTGGAGAATAATTCACTGTCATGAAGCAAGACCTGGTATTAAAAGCCAAAGCAAAGCTTTGTGAGATAAAGGCAGACTTCAAAGACAAATATAATCATAATCCCAAAAATATAATATTCTGAGAATAATCACAAATATTTTTTACCTGTTAAAATAATGAATGATTACAGCTATGGACCAACAAAGATTTCTGATGATTCTACTTTCCTCCCCTAGCTCTGTGTTTAATTCCTTCTCTAATTACTTTCTGAGAAATCTAGATGCTTAAAAAGAATAGATAAGGAGACTTTTTTAAAAAAAAAAAAGGAAACATATAGGGAGAAAATCTTCAGAAAAGGAGTAACAGTTTTTAACTTGAAAATTTTAAATAGAATTAAAAGTTTATGATAAATTTTAAGTTCAAAAAATATATATAGCTGTGATTCCCCCAACTATTTTCATGCTCTCAGAAAAATCCTAGTATACAATAATATCATTTTCATGTAATAATAATAGCATATAATATTTATACTTTCTATATGCCAGGCACCAACTAAGCATTTTCACATATCAGCTAACTGAGTTCTTACCACATTACAAAAAATAGGTTATCATCTTTTCTCTTTTTTTTTTTTTTTTTTTTTTTTTTTGAGACGGAGTCTCGCTCTGTCGCCCAGGCTGGAGTGCAGTGGCGGGATCTCGGCTCACTGCAAGCTCCGCCTCCCGGGTTCACGCCATTCTCCTGCCTCAGCCTCCCAAGTAGCTGGGACTACAGGCGCCCGCCACTACGCCCGGCTAATTTTTTTGTATTTTTAGTAGAGACGGGGTTTCACCGTTTTAGCCGGGATGGTCTCGATCTCCTGACCTCGTGATCCGCCCGCCTCGGCCTCCCAAAGTGCTGGGATTACAGGCGTGAGCCACCGCGCCCGGCCTCTCTTTTTTTTTTGAGACGGAGTCTCGCCCTGTCACCAGGCTGGAGTGCAGTGGCACAACCTCAGCTCACTACAACCTCCACCTCCTGGGTTCAAGAGATTCTCCTCCCTCAGCCTACCAAGTAGCTGGGACTACAAGCACATGCCACCATGCCCAGTTAATTTTTGTATTTTCAGTTAGAGATGGGGTTTTACCATGTTGACCAGGATGGTCTTGATCTTTTGACCTCGTGATCTGCCCGCCTCGGCCTCCCAAAGTGCTGGGATTACAGGCATGAGCCACCGCGCCCAAGCAGGTATCATCATTTTTAAATGAGGACACAAAGGCGCAGAATAGTTAAGTTTACTGGCCCCAAGATTGTATCAAAAGAATAGCAGTCAAGATTCTCACCATGTATAAACCCAAAGGACAAATTCATAACAAATATACTATTTCACTACAGTAAGCATCTTAATTTCATTAGAAAACAAGTTCTTTAAAAAATTATTATAGATATCGGGTCTACCCAAACATTCCCCACATTTAGAAATTCTTGATTCCTATATGTAATTCTCTTTGTCAACTAAACCTGAGAACGTGAAAATATTTCAGCTTGATTTTAATTTATTAATACTATGACACCAAAGAGGAGACTGATATGGCTTACAAAAAAGATAAATCAAAATGTTTGGCCAGACGTAGTAGCTTACACCTGTAATCCCAGAACTTTGGGAGGCCGAGGCGGGTAGATAACCTGAGCTCAAGAGTTTGAGGCCAGCCTCGGCAGCATGGCGAAACCTCATCTCCACAAAAAGAATAGAGAAATTACAAAATACAAAAACTAGCCAGGCGCCATGGCTGGTCTCCCAGCTCAAGTGATCCTCCCACCTCAGCCATACCAGCTACTCGGGAGGCTGAGGTGGAGGGTCCCTTGAGCCCGGGAGGTCAAGGCTGCAGTGATCCAAGATTGCGCCACTGCCCTCTAGCCTGGGTGACAGAGCGAGACTCTGTCTCAAAGAAAAAAAAAAACAAAAAACTTTATGGGTCTATGTACTTCAACATTTGCTCTGCTATAAATCTGTAACATTAAGGAAGTACCTCAACTAATGATTCCACACCAAATCTGTTTTTCAGATATTAAGCTAAGTAGACTTAGAATAAAGGATATAAAGAGAAGAAATAAGTCTAAAATATAATGCTAGATCTAGCTTCAAAGATTAGGCCTAAATAATTAAACTCATGACTTCACTGAACTCGTCATTCACAAAGACACCAAATTCACCTCAGAGCAAAGAATTAAAGGTTACAGAGTTAAAGCAGGCAGTTCCATGTTCCTACATAATTTCAAATACTCAAAGTGTATCCACGAAACCCATCACAGGGATGAATGCCTGCAGCTGCCTAGCTCTACTGCAGCCTACTCCCACTTGCCTCCCCTAAAATCATCCTTCTGATCAAATAGGGATTTGCTGCTAGTTTGGTTGGAAGCAATCAGAAGCTACAATTAATGAAGCATTCTCTCCTGATAAAAGAATGTAAACATTTGGGGAGAGAAAAGATTTTTAGGAAAAACAAGCGACTGTGCAAAGCATTTGAAAACTGAAATCCCACCTTCACTTGGAATATGTCTTTATTAAGTTAGAGAGCTCTCAAATATGCCTCACACAAATGAGGTGATAACTAATTCCATTTAGTCTACAACAGCAAATTACGACTCTATAGGGCACAAGCACCATTTCAACAAGGAGAGTTAATTATCTGTTTTATATGGTTCAATAAGAGCTTTATAGTAGCCAGGTCTTGATCTCTCAAAATGACTGAAAATAAAGTTAGTATACATAAATAGATTAAGAGTTGAAATTTTATATCATGATTTCTAGACTTGGGTTTTCCTAACCAATATATTTTAAAACTTGGAAACTCAAATAGAGTTAGCAAATTTTTATTTTTCCAAATAGGGACTTTTATTTGTTTAAGGCCATCTACAAGCACCATTAATTTATGAAATAAAACATTTAATTCAAAAAATGTAGACTCAAGGATAATCCTTAAATTGAACCAATTTAGTTTTATTTTACAAAGGACTGATAAGAAACCTCTTTGGGCCAACACTAGTCCTTGAGACAAGCATTTGGGAACCAACTGTTTAGAGGAACAAATGTTAGACTGAGTCAGGTTCCACTTATGATTCTACTACTTATTAACTGTGTGAATGCAGATAAAAACTCTGAATTTCAGTTTTCTCATCTATAAAATAAGAATATCCCACCTAGCTCACAGGTCTGCTGTGGAAATCAAAAATAAAATGTACTGAAATAGTGTGAAAAATGTGACAAGTTGCAGAAAAAGTCATCTAGACTGTACAACTTACCATCAGCTGACTGGGTAAACAATGCATAATCAGGATTGACTATCTCATTGGACAGAATATCAAACCACTCACGCACAACACCTTGACCCTGAATTCAAGAAATAAAATTAAGCATCAACAGAAATATGTTATATTGGGAAATTTTTTTCTAAATAACAAAATTTAAATATAAAGTTTCTTCCTTTATCAACTAAATATTAAACTTTATTCAAAAGGCATTTCAATCTTTCTTTACATACAGTGATTTCTACATCATCTTCTTTTATACCCACCATGCCTTCTTCTCCATGGAACCGTACAGCAATCCCTTGCTTTAGCTTTGCACAATTTGCTTTTGACACAACTTCACAGCTACTCCTAAAAATAGAATCTAAATATGTAGCATTGGTTAATTTTACATATTAAAATTTATAATAAAAAGCACTTTGTGCTTCACACATATATCAGTTTCTTTGTTAAGCATACCTCTGTGAACCAGCAGGATATCATTTTCATTCACTGGCCTGTGCACCATATCTGAATCTGGCTGTCCTGAATGCAAATGTTCATAGAACCATTCACAGCGATCTTTAAAAGGCTAGCTCAAAAAATAAGAGTAAAATATGTTAGCAGTGTATCAGTCATCTAATTATCAGATTTACTAGCTTGCTAAATGCCTTTTCTACAAATAATCATTCTTAGATCTTTATTTACAATAAGGAGTTACTGGATAATGTTTGAACATTTCAATAACTATTTACAAAAAGACAGAACTTAGCTGAAATAGTTTGACTACCTAGAGAAATGTATTTTTTTAAATTCCTACATTTTCAACACAAAAGACTTGATAAATTTGGTTATGTCTCAGAACTTAATATCAGACATGTAATTGAATATATTTATTCTCAATTCTTTTAAATCCAAGCCTTATTACAATGAATTTTCACACCCAGAAAAATTACGTTGCGTGTTCCATTTAATTTTTCATGAAAATAATCTCTTACACCTAATCTTATTTATTTATTTTGGTTTATTGTTGTAGTTGTTGTTGTCATTTTGAGACAAAGTCTCACTCTGTTGTCCAGGCTGGAGTGCAGTGGCACGATCTCTGCTCACTGCAACCTCTGCCTCCTGAATTCAAGTGATTCTCCTGCCTCAGCCTCTCAAGTAGCTGGGATTGCAGGCACGCACCACCACGCCTGGCTAATTTTTGTATTTTTAGTAGAGAGAGGTTTCACCATGTTAGCCAGGCTGGTTTCGAACTCCTGACCTCAGGTGATCCACCCATCTCAGCCTCCCAAAGTGCTGGGATTACAGGCATGAGCCACTGCGCCCGGCCTCTTACTCCTAACTTTATTCTTACTTCTATCCTTTAGAATACATGCAGAAATTGGAACGTAATTTGTTATCCCTTCCCATTCTCCACCCTAAAAATTGAAGAATAAGATCTCTTGAATAGCAAAGAGAGTCTCTCCCTTTTGTTCATCTGCCAGGTAAGCAAACTGTGAGTTATCTACAATTTTTGATTAATCAGAAAGTACTGAGTACTTACTATGTACCAACACTGCATGTAATGTAAGAGCAGTAAAAACTCCAAGAACTTGCTAAAAACTGTTTAATAGAGTTAAAGAGATGTGACTAACACAGAGTAACACAATATATATATATATAATATCAATTTCTCAACAATGAAGCATGAGCTATAGAAGTCCTGGTCATGGTAGCAAAGAGGAACAATGAAGCCAATCCGAGAGATACTACTTCTTTGAATAAGCATTAAAAGTAAGAGAAGAGGCTGGGTATGGTGGCTCATGCCTGTAATCCCAGCACTTTGGGAGGCCAAGGCAGGAGGATCGCTTGAGCCCAGGAGTTTGAGACCAGCCTGGGCAACAGTGAGACCCTGTCTCTACCAAAAAAAAAAAAATGTTTTAATTAGCCAAGCGTAGTGGTATGCGCCTACAGTCCTGGCTGCTCAGAAGGCTGAGGTGGGAGAAAACTTTAACCCAGGAGTTCAAGGCTGCAATGAGCTATAATTGTAGTGTGCTCACTTTGTCACTCCAGCCTGAGTGACAAACTGAGACCTTATCTCTACAAAAAAAAAAGTAAGGTAAGATCTCTGCAAGATAGAACTTATGAATAGAAATAACTTAAAGTGGAAAAGCCCTTTCCCCATAACCTACCCCCACACTCCTAGAAGGTACTGGTGGAAATATGAGTAAGATTTTATGTATCGTGAGTTTAAAGATATAGTGGGGTGTAACTATTAGGGATTTAGGAGGAGATACTGGACAGTGATGCAGCTGAGACACTGAAAATAAAAACATGAACAAAGGTAAAGTTGGAGACAGGATAAGGTTCAAGAGATGAAAGATACAGAGAATAAATACCAAGAACAAAGAAGTTTATGATCACAAGTCATGACTGAGAATTTGCTTAGCAAATGATACAGACGGCAAGAAAAGTCAAAGGAGAAGCAAGGTGGTGCAATACCATCACAAAAGCTAAGAGTTTCAAGAGATAAATATGATGAATACCATCCAACACCACAAAAAGGTTATCTTCCAGGTGGCTTTTAGGACACCAATAAATTTCTTCATCTGAGCTAAATTAAATAGGTTTGTTTTAAAAGATTCAAATATCACTTGTTATTAATTCTTAATAAAAACAATATGATCGATGAGAGATGAACTTCTGCCTTTTAATATTTGCTTTCAGTAAGAAAAGAATAAATGCTACCTTTTTAAAGTTAAATGTGTAATTTTGTCCATACTTGTAACAGTCTTCCACATTTTTTATAAAGCACTGGTGTTATATGCATTACTGTGCATATAAATTAAATATCTCATTTTCAGTTAACAAGCTGGAATATAAAGTACTTGAAATTCTAATGCTGACTATTTCTAAAACTTTGGTTTAAGAGGAGAGAAAAAACATTACACAGAAGCAATTATTT
Source organism: Homo sapiens (assembly GCF_000001405.40). NCBI lineage: Eukaryota > Metazoa > Chordata > Mammalia > Primates > Hominidae > Homo > Homo sapiens. Next base: position 104,779,673 of record NC_000006.12, read on the forward strand.
AAGTATGGGCTTTGAAGTCAGATAAACATGGTTTGAAATCCTCACTCTGTGACTTACTAGACTTATCTTAAGGAAATTATTAATCCTCACAGAACTTTAGTTTTCTCATCTGTAAAACAGAGAAAAGAATATACCTACTTCAAGAGCTGTTAGGATTAAATAATTCAAATAAAGAACATAATTATGATAATTATAATAATCATAATAATAAATTAGCAATCATTTATTAAGCACCTATAAGCCAGGTACTTTTTGAAGCACTTTACAATGCATTACCACATACAATCCTCACAACACTATGAGAAAAAGGAACTTTTGTCCCCATTTTACCAAAGAGAAAAATACATTAAAAGCATTTATACTAATGCTCTAATACTCAATACCTAGAATGCTCAATAAATAGATACTGTTCTTATTATCATTCACAGCAATGTTAAAATTATTGTCAATAACTATTTAAAAGAAAACTTACTGCCCATTATAAGATATTAAACTATATCATTTATCTATGAAATGTGAACCAAGAAATAAAAACAAATGGAACCTTTTCAAGTAATTCAAGTGGAACATTAAAAGGTACAAACTGCTACCTTCAAAAGCTCAGATCAAACACACACACACACATACAAACACCTACACAGCCAAATGGTACATTTTTGTATGTAAACTTTCTAGAGTACCTGCATTTCCATAAATAATTCACAAAACAGGACTGATTATAGAGGCTCCTCTTAATAGCATTTGTACAGCAATACAAAATGTTTCTCCCTTTAACTACTGGCCACCTGAAAACCACCAACAGAAGAAGAAGTCAATCCCTTAGCAGAGGTAGTTGTTCTTTTTAACTTTCTAGAGGAGGACAATCTCCAAGTTACAGAAAACTTCTAAGTACAGTAGAGTACAAAGTATTTTTTTTTCCTCTAATGTGAGAGCAACTTGCCAATATAATGTCCAGTCCCCTATAAACACTTAGGCATTTATTTCCTACAAACAAGGGAATTTTCCTCTATAACTAGATAACAACCATCAAAATCAGAAATTAACTCTGATAACACTACTACATCAGATCCCATTTCAAGTCTTGCCAATTTTCTAATAATGTCCTCTTATTGCAAAATGATTCATGAACTGCCTTTAATTGTCCTGTCCTGTCTCCTTCACTCTGGTACATTTCTTCAATGTTTTCTTAATTTTCATAACCTTGATAGTTTTAAAGACTGCAGGTCTTTAAAACTGACTGCAGGTCAGTTAATTTTGTAGAATGTCCCTCAACTGTATTTAGTCTGATGATTCCTCCTGATTAGATTTAAGGTGTGTATCCTTGGCAAGAATACCACAGAAGTGATGCCATGATGTCCTCAGAGCATCCTATCAGCTGGCACACTGCTATGTCTGCTTTGATCACTGCTAAGCTTCTCTACTGTAAGGCACCCTTTTTCTCTTTGCAATTATTCTGCTGGGAGATAATCTGAGACTGTGTAATCATCCTACCCTTCATCAGACTTTCCATTTATTCATTAACTTTTTTCAGTACAGACTCATAGATTCCTGTTTATGTTGCCATCATTATTTATTTTGATGCTCAAATTCTTCCAAATTTGGTAGTGGGAGTCCATTCAAGCTGTCTTCCGAGTCATGTTAACATAACCCCATCAGTCTTTGAACACTTCCTTACTTTCTTACACAATAAGATGTTGCAGGCTTATTTTATACTTTCCCTGATCTAGCCCTGGAATTAGCCATTTCTCCAAGGAGCCCTGGTTCATTGAGAATGGCACTGAGAGACCAAGAGCTGGGTGCCAGGTTTGCTACATGTATCTATGTAAATTTAAAACTAAATTCAAACTGGTAACTCCAATTCAACACAAGGTTCCTTCTAATTTCCTCCATTTTGTAACTCCTTTCTCCAACAACGAGAAGTTAGACTCTCATACTTGCTTATTTGATCAACCTGCAACCCCACTCCCTTGGTATGTAACCAATCTCCAATCACTGACATGGCCCCTGCATCCCACTGAGGCTCCATCAGACAGCACTGATCAGCTGCAACCACCGCCAACATGGACATCCTCCTTATGCCACTCTAACCCACATGACTCACACTGGGACCCTCTTCTACACAGACACACTTCTTAATCACATCCAAACTCCAAAACCCCACACTAGGCCACCACTACACATGTAGACACCCTCCTCACCCTAGTCAGGCAACAAACACCTCCCTCTCTGGGTCAACAAAGTGGATACCTAATACAGATGTTTTTTGACTAAATTGTCCAGGAAGGGAAAAAGGAATAGAAAGTAAAAAGCAGAGACAGTATTAGGTTGGTGCAAAAGTAATTGCGGTTTTTGCTATTTTAATTTGACAATTTTAATTTGGCAATTAAAAGTAACTGCCAAAAACCGCAATTACTTTTGCACCAACCTATATTAAAAACAGCAGACTATCTCTCAAAAACTAAAATCTTCTTTCACCTATTATCTCATTTGCCCCAGAACAGTATCATACAGTGTAGGTTAAGAAATTGAACTTGTCCGGGTGTGGTGGCTCATGCCCATAATCCCAACACTTTGGGAGGCTAAGGCAGGTGGATCACTTGAGCTCAGGAGTTCAAGGCCAGTCTGCGCAGCATGGCAAAATCCCGTCTCTACAAAAAACACAAAAATTAGCCAGGTGTGGTGGTATGCACCTGTAGTCCCAGCTACTTGAAAGACTGAGCTGGGAGGATCGCTTCAGCCCAGGAGGCAGACGTTGCAGTGAGCTCAGATCAACTATACTCCAGCCTGAGTGACAGGTAAAACCCTGTGTCAAAAAAAATAAATAAATAAAATAAAGAAAGAAATTGAACTTGAGAACCAGACAGACTTTTAAATTCTGGTTCTCCCATTTAGTAGCAGAATGACTTAAACAAGTTACTTAACCACTTCAGCTTACAAAAAAAAGAGTAGCCATCTTATACAATGGTTAAGAAAATAAAATCATTCATGGAAGCAAATACATAGTACCTGACCTAAAATCAGTAAATGTAAGTCATTATTACTGCCTTCTCTTTCACATTATCATTATTAAACAGATGTCAAAAGATCCCTCTATATAGTTATGTATAATTTTATAAAAATTAGTTCATAGCTTAACTTCTGAAAGGACAAGTGTCCCTAAAGACATTAAAAACCACTTATCCTATTTATTATCTTACAACTACTAACCAAACCATTGCCTACAGTCTGTCCTACATATCTGGCAAATTATTTTCTAAAACTTTGCCAGAATTATGCCATTCTCCTAAAGCAAGGGTATCAGTGGCTCCTAACAGCCTAGCAAACAAAGAAAATTCTTCAATCTGGAAATCAAGGCTCATCATTGGATGACCTCAATCTACCTTTCCATAACTCTATCTTGCTCCTATCAACACAAAATTTCTGCTGCAATACTGCAGTTTTACATACTTTTCGGTCTACATGCTCCAGCCCACATGGTGGCTAGAAAGTTCTCCCTCTTTGTTTACTCCCATCAAAATGTTGCATATTTTTTCAAGCTTTCTCAAGGTAACTTAAAATCTGCCTCCTCTGAAATTTCCCCTGACTACAGATGCCAGAGCCAGCTCTTCCTCCCTTAAACTCCTAAAGATCCAGGTTATGTTGTAGTTACTATTTTATACATATGTTTATTATCTCCCCAGCCAGACTGAATTAGAATCCTCTTAGAGAAGGGAAGTAAGTTTTCTATCTCCAAAACAACTACCATTTATTGAGCATATATCACAGTCATTCCTGACAATTTATTCTGGACAATAGTTCTATGAGGCTGCTGTCATTATCTCCATTTTGTAGATGAAGAAACCAAGGGCTCAAGGATATTAGGAAACGTGCCCAAAGTTCACATAGCTGGTAAGGAGCAAAACAAGCTTTCCTCCAGCTAGCTTCATGTAACATGAGATGTATGGAATGAACAGGTACACATCTGGTAGGGGAAAGGTGGTCAGGTCAAATAAGTTAGGAGGATTAACAAAGCTAAATCACTATTTTTACTGAAGGGCTTCTCAAAGCCTTTTAACATGCTGCCAATGTGATTTATAAATTTCCAAAGGGCATATGTTATGTAATTTCCCAAATGTATTTGGGGGCTAAAATCCTTTTCAAAAGGACAATCAGCCTTATAGAACTAAAGAGTTTCATTAAGCTCCTTTCAGGAAATGTGGCAATGTGTTCTGTTGTTTTTGTACAGACCTCTGTACATAGTAGGCACTCAGTACATATTTCTTGAAGAAAACTTACTCCTCATATTAAAGTAACATGCAATCATTCCTCTTACAACAGAATGTCTGAAGTGTAATAATTATTCCACTAAACAGTATTAGAATTTTAGAAATTAATTTCATTAGATAGAATAAAAAGATGAAGAAAAATTTCTACCTGTGCTTTTATGATATGCATGAATCTTGACATCAACTCAGGACATTCAAGGAGAAAGTGAAAGTGGTCAAATATAATTTTGGGATTTCTAAAAGAAAAATATTTTGTTTAAATGGACAGGAAGAATGAGTAGCATTAAGTGAAATGCAAATTCAGATACACTGACACTGAAACAGAAGAAAAACACATAATAATCCATATCTATTAAAGTTTCATTTGTTATTGAGCATATTTTGAATAGTACGAGAAATAGTATTTTTTCTGTTTAGATGAAACTGTAAGTAAAGAGAGGAAAGGCTAGCAGGGTACTCCACAAACCCAGAAAGCTTACCTATTAACAAAGCATTTTAAAACTTCATCATGTTTGCAGACAAATTCAATGAAACGAGGTGAAGTCATTCTGTGGGGGGAAAACATCAATCAGAATACACAGGCAAAAGTTTGTGATATAATATAGCGAACTTGATAAATATATACTGAACTGGACTGGCTTCTAAACCAAAAAAAAAAGAATTTGGTTTTGAATCTTCTTTGTAAGTTTAGGAAACTGAAGTATGCCTAGCCAATTTGTAAAATGATTCTAACTTCTCATCAGCAGACGATATCAACAAGTGACTTTTTAAAAATCTTGAAATTTGGTGCATTTCTGCTCTACACATTTCAAATACATAATTAAGAGATCCTATACAAGGTGACATTCACCATTCTACAAAGTAATAATATATACTGCTTAATATTTAAATATTCCCTACTAGATCTAGATTAGTATGAGTATCTTAAAACAAGGAGAAAACTTTAAATCAACAAATTATTATTTGTTGTTTTTGAAATTACAAAAGTATCACTGCTTTTCATCATCTATCAGAGAAAAAAAAAATAATAAGCCAAAACTTTCTTACCCCGGAGGCATCTGACAAGAACAGCACATGTAAAAAGCTTGAATGACAGCACTTAGCCGGTTAGCTGTCATAGAAATAACATCCTGACAATCTGCACTGGCTTCCTGTCTCCCTGCAAGAGCATCTGGTTTAGATTCCCTTGTGCCAGTGGACAGATTTTCATAGCTCCCAGGTCCTGGAGGTTCAAATGGAGGAATGGAAGCAGCATCTTGATCTTGGCCTTTTTGTTTCAGTAAAATAGAAGTGATCTCTGTTGAGTCTCTTTTGTTTTTCATCAATTCTGTGGCTATTAAAACTAGCCATTCATCTAACGAGTGCCAAAGCAATTCCAGAGGCTGAGAGAAACAAAAGTGTTTTTTAAACATCATTCTTAAACTACAGGATTAAAAAAAAAAAAACAAAACACAACTAGACAAATATTATAGAAGAGAAAATTTACTCTAGTCATTTCTATCTTCCCAAGTTAACGTGATAGTAATGCCTAAAGGTAAGTAATAAAATTATACAAATGCTACATAAATGACAATTTCTTCATTTATGGCAATAATTTAATTTGTATGTATGTATTCCTTGTAATAAAAAGGAAAAACTAAATCTAACAAAAAATTCACAATCTTTCTTCTTTTAATTTTCAAATGTTTAGTTTTAAAAGCACACATTACTACTATATATAATCACCCTTAACATTTACTGTATTAATATGATCAATGTCAACCACTTTCAATTAAACAAATAAGATTTTTTCAGTTAAAAAATGAGAACCCCTAAGTATAATCACTCAACATTTTCTGTATTAATATGATCAATGTCAACAACTTTCAATTAAACAAATGTCTTTTTTCAATTAAAAAATGAGAATCCCTAAAGAACCTAATGAACAGCTTTTTTACTGTGCTCCTTTCATTACATATAATTCCTAGAATTTGGATAATTTTTGACAAGAAATTACAAAATGTGGCATATTTATGTATATACATATACTTACAGACACAATCCATTTCTAATAATTAGTGTTTTTTTAAAACAAGAGATACAATTACCAAACTTCTATTAAAATACTGACTAGCAGGCCGGAGATGGTGGCTCACGCCTGTAATCCCAGCACTTTGGGAGGCCGAGGTGGGTAGATCACTTGAGGTCAGGAATTCGAGATCAGCCTGGCCAACATGGTGAATTGAAATCCCATCTCTACTAAAAATACAAAAAATTAGCCAGACATGGTGGCACACACCTATAATTCCAGCTACTCGGGAGGCTGAGGCAGGACGATCACTTGAACCCAGGAGGCAGAGGTTGCAGTGAGCTAAGATCACACCACTGCACTCCAGCCTGGGTGACAGGGCGAGACTCCATCTCAAAAAAAAAAAAAAAAATACTGAGTAGCAAATTCTTAATTCCAAGTAAAGATTAACACCTTTCTATTAAAAAAAAAAAAGATGAGGAGAGAATAAACTATTTCCTATTATTATTCTAGCTGGGTACACAGGCATGCACTTGTAGTCCCAGTTACTGAGGAGGTTGAAGGGGGAGGATTGCTTGAGTCTCGGAAGTCAAGGCTACAGTGAGCTGTGATCATGTCACTATACTCCAGCCTGGGTGAAAGAGTGAGATACTGTCTCCAAAAAAAAAAAAAAAACAAACAAACAAACAAAAAAAAAAACCTGCTAGGATATTTTTAATCCCAAATAAAGATTAATAGTTTATAAGTGGTACAGTGGTTAAACAATCCCTTCATCCTACACTATTTTAAATATTCTTATTGAGAATGATTAGCTATCCTTCTGCAAATAAATATAAAAGTTTATCTCACTTTTTGAATCTGACATGATTACAGAATGCTACAAACTACACCATGTGCTACAGAAAGACTCACCTTTAAAATATTTCAAGGAAAGAAATAATCTTTCTTTTAAAGACCGCCATGGAAGGAGATTATACAACCATATTTGGAACCTTAGAAAATGTTTGAACTATTCTGCCAGGAAATTCTTCCCAATTATTATCTAACAAATACCTTCACTGCCACTTTCAGCCTTTCTTCAGATTTCTGTAATATTCTCTTTTTGAAAATATTTTACTTACTGAATTTGCAAATAATTAAATCACCTCAGGCCTTCATTTACACGTTCAACCAAAAAGCAGAAAAACACAACAAAACCAACAAAACCACCACTACTACAATCAACAAAAACCTAGTTCACTCACTCAACCAGTACTATGCACTAGGTAGTCGGGTTAAGTACAATGTTTCCTTTTTTAAGAGAAATTATACCCTCCTTCGAAGTTAAAGTAAGCATCCCTCTCACCCGTAATGAGGGCTCTTCCATACTCACAACGGTTGACAGATTTGGAGTCCCTGAACTGCTTAAAGAAGGGCAAGAAGCACCCAGCTGCCATAAATACTGACAGATACCTTCACTGAAAATTCTAATCATGATCCAAGTTGAAACTATAGTTTCTCTTTATGAGCAAAACACTGAACCTGCTGTAGAAGATGAAAAGAACTTATGTCAGCAAAACTATTTAGCTTTATATCAGAAAATGAACTTCTGAAATGGAAAGAACAGGTGGTGATATAAAACTGCTTGAAACAAAAAGAAAAAAGAATAATTGGCCTCTAAATGAGAAAAGATAAAACCTAGAAAATCAACACACTGAAAGGAGGTAAGGCCTAACGCAAGAAATGACACAGGCTGATCATGCAGATGAGCACTGAGTCTAAACCAACAGTGATCCTATTTTCAAATATTGACAATGTGTAAAAAATGAAAGACAAATTTTCAGTGGTGCAGAAATAACACCAAAGAAAAAAATGGATATGTGTAAAAGTGACAACAAAGATGTCGAAAAGCCAGAGTTTTTAATAAAGGAACACAGCAAATAATTAGAAGAATGAGAAAAAAAATAAGATAAGTAATAAACCACATTGGACCTTTCTTTACTTTTCTCTCTTTTCTTACCTTTTATTTCTTCAATCATACATACATTAAAACTAAATCCCAACCTTGAGGTGAGTTTACCTAGGAAGTTTTCTCTTTGAAGATCTATTCAGAAAATTCATTCTTCAATCACAAAAAAGAATACTATGAAAATAACTTTAATTTCTAACTATGGTAGCAGCCACCAACAAAAAGGATTCAAATAAATTTTAAAATTAAAAATAAACCATTGCATACTATATCTGATACTTTCTATATTCATAAATAATAAAATACATTAAATAAGAAACACCATACATACCATTTGTTACCGAACAATGAGTTAATTACTACTGAAAATATTAGCAGGTTTCTTGGTACTGTGAAAATACTGCTTCATTCATTATTATTGAGTGATCCTTACTGAAGAATTATATTCTACATATAGTAACAATGATATGCCAATCATACATGATTTATAAGCATTTTAAGTCATATTTCAAAATATACAATCTCGAGCTTACTGAACGATTTTTTAAAATTTCAAGAAGTGCTGAAATGAGGAATGAATTTGGCAGAAAAGTATTATTAACTTAATGTTCATTCATAGTACATTGATATCCTGTTAGTCTGACTATTCTTAACCTAATGTCAAATGCCACAACCCACAAGATAAGATCTTGAAGTTAAAAGTTTCACAATCTTTCTTGGTTACCAAAATTTCCAAATTGTAAGTCTATGAAACCATTAATAGTCACAGCTTACTATTCACAAAAAAAGAACACAGCAAGACTCAGGAAGCCTAAATTGTCTTCCCCATGTTCACTGTGCTTCAAAAATAAAAATGATCTTCTCCTTCAAATGCTCCAAATTTCCCAAGGCACTAGATAAACATCTCTTAATGCTGAAAGAATGGCTATGTGTTAAGACTAACTTGAAGAACTTCTAAAATAAATCAGAAAACTAATAACAGGATGTTAAACAATTTCACCTACTAAAAACACATGGCCTATAAACCCACTCATTCTTAATGGAAAACCCATTAGTTAATTTGAACAATAAAGTAGCATTAGAGTACCTTGTTAATGAAATGGAAATTAGGGATCAATTGCTACCTCAGACAAAATGTGGTAAGAATTAAAATGGTATTTCCAGTCTAACATCACAGCAACTCAGTAACTAGCAAAGATTTTTACTTGAAATCACCCCCACAATGAACAGGAGATCTGATTCCCATGGATGACAATGTACAGTTTCTATTTTTATCCTTGTAAATGGAAGGGCAGATCATTTTGCCAATCCCCAAAGATTCCATGTTTCATTCATAAAACTGAATGAAAAGAGACTAATAAATTCTTTAACAGTTAATACTTATTAATGTGTTTAAAAACTAGCTGAGTTTTACAATTAGTGTTTTACAAAATGGAAGTTCAAAATTTAAGAGAAAATAAGTGATGAGAAGAAATAGTAGTTGTCAATGCTGTAGAAAGCAGTACCTTAAAAAATGAAACAAAGATACCAACAAAATTCTTGAAATAAGAAAGTATTTATATATTATATATATCATAGACACATGACAAAACATAAAGTCTGGGTTCTATTTTTTAAACATAAGCTAAAAAGGAAAAACAGATATCCTTTTCTACTCTATTATGTCTGTATTGACTGTGTAGGTAGAAAACTAACATTTAAATCAATATTTAAATCATTTAAATCACCTATAGAGAGGCTACTTAACACATATTTTCTGATATTAGCTAACAGGTAGCAGATCGAAATTTTAACCAAAGAAATCAGACAAAATTAAATATAATCTAACCCAATTTGAATAATATTGACCACATCTATACCTGATTTGATTTTATATTCATCATTACTGATGAGTAGAAAGTATGAGTCAAAGTCAAATCATGGGTAGATTCCGTCACTAACAAAGTGAGCCACGCCAGAACACATTAAAAACAACTTTGTGTGATATGAATGTTTGAAGCAGTAAAGCTTGCTTAAAACAGCCCTGACAAAAAGAGTAGGTCAATAATGTAGATCAAAATTTTACAAAGACAGTAAGTCGTCACTCCTAACTAGAGCTCAAGGAAGTGGTACGTGAAAAGCCACATGAATTACAAGAATGCATAACTTCATTCTTCCAGGAGGTGGCACAATAAGAAAAAAAAAAAAGAAAACAAAAATACACACTCAACGTGCACACACACACATACATATATGGCTAAAAACTGTCCTTCCTAGACTGATTTTTTTAAAGAGAGTAAAACAGATGGACAGACATTCATACATAACCTTTCTAAAAGACTACCATATCTATTCTAAGTATTAATCTACTAGTGTCAAAGTTCTTGCAAACTTTATTTTTACCTTTTTGCAAAAATTTTCCATGTAAGGAAAGAATCATTTAGTATAGAACACTAGTTTAGCTTTGAATTTTAGAGACAGCAAAGCTTTCAATCCTAACTAGTTTTCAAGGAAGTGGCACATAAAAACATTTATATCACTTTTTTGATAAATAACCTATATTTTATACTCAAACCATTGTTTAAAGAAATGTAAGTTGGCTGGGTGCAGTGGCTCACGCCTGCAATCCCAGCACTTTGGGAGGCAGAGGCAGACAGACTGCTTGAGCCCAGGAGTTCGAGACTAGCCTGGGCAACATGGCAAAGCCCCATCTCTAACAAAAAATACAAAAATTAGCCAGGTATGGTGGCATGCACCTCTAGTCCCAGCTACTGGGGAGGTTGAGGTGGGAGCATCACCTGAGCCCAGGGAGGTAGAGGCTGCAGTCAACCATGATTGTGCCACTGCATTCCAGCCTAGGCAACAGAGTGAGGCTCCGTTTCAAAAAATAAATACATGAAGAAATAAAAAACACAAAGTTATTAAATTACACATTTTTCTAAAATCTGTTACTTTAAAATGTCACCCAAAAAAACATTAACAAGAGCAATTATAGTCCTATTCATTTTGTTTACTTCATAAAATTATAATTTAACATGAGTAGCAAAACTCCCTTGGTTTTTACATGAATCTTCCAAGGACTTCATCCATATGTGCTTAGAAAGGCAGCTGAAGCAATACAAAATATTTTAAGAAAATATCTCAACAACTCTTCCTTGCAGTTATCTCAGGAATTAACTGTCAGCAAACCCAGTAAATGAAAGTACCTTACTTTGAAAACACATACAGACACACATCTAACACACATATCATATTAAAATCTAAATAAAAACTGTGCATTTTATTTCCTTACTAATAAGAAATACATTTCTTTCAAAAGCATGGTGGCTGCATATTACATTAAAAACCTATAATTTAATAAAATTAATTTTAAACACTAAATATCTCTACCCTTAGAATAAAACACCAATGGAATAAAAAATTTTATTTGTAAGAAAAATACAGAAAGCTCACCAACTTGCTGTTGATTAGACAGAGTTGAGAGGAGAAAGGTGTGCCTAATTTTGAAAGTGATATGGGTATAAACCAAACTTACAACCTGTTCATGAGCTTTCTGATTAATGAATGCATGCTTTGTCAAATTCATCTCTTTTACGTCTATCTTCCTAACAATGCCATATACTTTTCTCACCTTGAACACCTGGCTTCTTGGAGTTTTATTCCCATTGTAGCCCATATCAATTCCATTACTGGGGGAGGATGGACCAATTCGAAAGACGTGACAAAACATTCTCACAATCCTTAAAAGGCTCTTCATTTGAGCATCATAATTGCTAGAGAGGCTGAAAATAAAAATTAAAATATGAGATTAGAGTAAAACAAATTACATATTAAAATACTTATTTTAAAACATTTTCATCCCACTGACCATCTGTTTCATATTATAATGTAACTGGAGTACAATTCCTTTCCTATCATGATAGGAGATAGAACAGTTTAACAGGAAGTTACATTATTTAACTTGCATATAAATAAATTACTATTTCTTAAGCACCCAGAATATAACCAATGATCAAAGCATAAAACATGAAGAAAATCACTCCTTTAGAATAGTTGGTTTCTTGTGGCAACAACTTCAAGGCAACTCCTAAATTTTTACTTTCAGAAGTATATTTGTAAATTAAATTTATACTTTAGAAGTCTGTATTTCACAGAGAAGCAATGGTATAAATCATCATATTCTTAGGCCAACCCACAACTGTTTTAACGAAGAAGCTAAACTAAACTCTGCCACTATATCCATAATCCCATATCCCCTTCCCACCACAGAATAGTAACAAATTATTCACATATAGAACATTCACAAATTGAAAAATTTAAAAGTTGCTATCTGCATTAGGTTTGTTCTCTACGTAACGGGCTGCCTTATGACTATACACAAATATAGGAAATATTTGCCTACCATGAAAAAAGAAAAGACTAAAATTCAATTAACACTAAATCATATTAAATTAACATAAACTCACTTTTACTGATCAGAAAGCCCTTCAGAATCCCACAGTTACCTTGGTATTGGTCAACATCATGAATACCAATAATTACCTTTCCACAGAAAAACTGTACGAGTTAGGCTAAATTTGTATTGAATCTAATAATATATCTTTAAACACAGTATTTTTGTTGGTTGATGGTGGTTTTATTTTGAAATCTCTAACATCAGTTATCTTGTATCACAAATGTCGGAGCAAAGCAAAGAGTTGCATGAACTTCTGCGCAGAACAGCAGGATTAACTTTGTATGTTGGAGGCCAAAAGGGTGAAGGTCATGATCAACTCAGTATACCACTGGAGGCTATATGAGTAAACAGCCAACTGTTCTCATAAATGCAGGATGCTGGCAAACTGAAAAACTGCATCTGCCACCCAGAAGGAATGCTGAGGGCAGTCACGACCCAGGCATAAGTATTTCTTGTGATTAGGTACATCTGAAGCCTGTTAGCAATAATATGAAGCTGTGATCAATCAAGCAGCTGACCAATCATTTGCTCCTCCTCCCTGCTCTTTCTACCCAATAAATACCAAGGGCTGCAGAAGCTCAAGGTTGTTGCTGCCTTTGCTCATTAGAAGCACGGAGCTCTCTTCTTCCCCGGCCCCTTCCTTTAAAATAGTTGCTTTTGCCGGGCGTGGTGGCTCACGCCTGTAATCCCAGCACTTTGGGAGGCCGAGGCAGGCAGATCACGAGGTCAGGAGATCGAGACCATCCTGGCTACACAGTGAAACCCCGTCTCTACTAAAAATACAAAAAATTAGCCGGGCGTGGTGGCAGGCCCATGTAGTCCCAGCTACTTGGGAGGCTGAGGCAGGAGGATGGCATGAACCCGGGAGGTGGAGCTCGCAGTAAGCCGAGATCGCGCCACTGCACTCCAGCCTGGGCGATAGAGCGAGACTACATCTCAAAAAAAAAAAAAAAAAAAATTAATTTCCTAACTCAAACCCCTATCATTGTAAAATCCTCGCCTTTGGTTTATATGGGTATATTCTTATTCAGTGTCTTACTTAGCATATAGCTATGATTTCTCTGTTCATTTCCACATTGTTAACTACCTTTACTTTCAATCATAAATATATAGAAAGGACGATAAAATTTCATTTCAATATAAACATAGCATTATGTGCAAACGCCTCAGTAAATGTTTATTATCTTTAGCAAATATTCCTGAAATCAGTTAGATAATAGGCTACAAATTTTTCCAAAAGTGTGCTGGATAACACCTTAGTTGTCACTAATTAACATATATTTGAATCAGTTATTTTCTTAATGAAAATTTCTATTAAAACAAGGGTCAACATTACTTCACATAATGGGTTAAGAAACATAAAATGATTCACAAATAAACACAAATGAGATACTCTACAAAAATACCATTAAACATAAATCAGCAGGGGGAAACAATTTGTATTTGAAATCATCTTAAGAATTACCTTTTTACAGTACAATAAATTCTAACTAATAACCAATACTCACTACCAACCCCAACAATGAGATATTTACAGGCCAAAAATGGCCATAAAAATAAGATTCTATAAAGCACTTGGAAGGTAGCACCATAAGTGGTGAGAGAGCACAGTTTAGCAGAGTAATTTTTTAAAAACTACTATTGTTTTGGTCATGGGTTCCTTTTTCCTACCCTGTTTCTCCTGTCCCACCAACCACCCCTGTCATTTTTAGAAGCTAGATTAGAACCTAGAATCCGCTATTTACTAATGAGGATATAAATCCAGGTTTATTTATTAGCTTGGCAAATCATTTAACTTCAATTTTTTTACATGTAAAATGGAGATAACATCTAAATTATAAAGTTACTGTAAGGTATAAATGAAATAATATATTCGAATGCTCCTTAGCTTGGTACCTGCTTAATAAGTGATGAAGGTAAACTTAAAAACATAGATACATCAAAACATAAATGCTTTATAATTACTGTGGAAGTATATATAATATGACAAATATTTAAGAAGAAAAAATAAGTTTTCTAATGTAGGAAAACAGGTTAAATGGTATTATAGGGTACTTAAAATTATAACCATCATCACCTCTACTATATACTGGACCCACTGTTTTGCATTTTACAGAATTATCTTATTTCACTCTCACAACTCATAAAGATATTGCCAGTTTCCAACAAAATGGAATAAAATCCAATAAAATCCTGATTAGACTGTAATTTCAACATAGAGATCTTGTCTGTTTTATTCATGATCACCTCACAGATGGCCTAATGGATGGTACGCCCTCAAAAATATGTATTTGGCCAGGCGCATTGGCGCACGCCTGTAATCCCAGCACTTTGGGAGGCCGAGATGAGCGGATTGCCAGAGCTCAGGAGTTCAAGACCAGCCTGGGCAACATGGCAAAACCCCATCTCTACTGAAAATACAAAAAATTAGCCGGGCGTGGTGGTGTGTGCCTGTAATCCCAGCTACTTGGGAGGCTGAGGCAGGAGAATTGCTTGAACCTGGGAGGTGGAGGTTGCAGTGAGCCAAGATTGTGCTGCCTGGGTAACAGAGTGAGAGCGAGACTCTGTCTCAAAAAAAAAAAAATAATTGTATATATGTGTGTGTGTGTGTGTATACATATATACAATTTCTTGCAGGCTAAGAAATAATAAGACAATAATCATTTCTCAGTGGCTGCTTATTCCTAATTGGGGTAGCCAGCCACATAGAAAGAAGTGTAGCTACAGGAAAACACTTCATATATAAATTCAAGTAATATAAGGCATTAACTCCACGAACTTAGTGATGATAAAACCACAGGATCTTTTAGAAATAATAAAGAACTTAACTGAGGGGGACAGGTCAGAGAAAAAAACTTTATAAGGAGTCATGAAAGTACAATGAAAGGTTAAACAGTAGCTTGTACCTAATTTTATTTTATTAATTAGTGGTCAAGATTCCTGAACTTTCTCAATTCTTCTTCATGTACATTTACTTATATGTCTAGGTAAGTAATCATTTCACAAAATTCTAGACACATATGCCCAAATTCACTGAAGTATGCTCTATTTTTAGTCTCTTTAGAGAGACTAAAATCTCTTTAGCAATAGTTGATTACCCTGGTCCTTTCAAACAAAACAAACCAGAAGTCAGCAAATTTTTATAACATCGTTATCACTGACAAAAGGTATCCCACAGAATAAACTACTCAGGAGGTGAAGCCAACAGACACTGCTACCTATTGATTTCCTCTTATTGCGAAACACTTACCTAAGCAGTTTATGACCATTTGTTGTAGCAACTTCAGCAAGGCTTGTTAGAATCTTTAGGTACTGGCTTTCACTTTGCTGAGACAAATGCTCCAGAACTTGCCGTAACTAAATTTTTTACAAATAAAAAAATGTGATTACATAGTAATCCATTAAATCTTATCAAACAATTAAGTACCTATTAAGTATCTTAAAGCCAATTAGTCTAAATCAAGTCCTTTAGTTATTTTGTCTTGCATAAGTTTAAAAGCTAATATAGAGATATGATGATACATAATAAAATCTTTGTTGAAAATCACCCAGTTACAAAACAATAGTAAATATAGATAGAATTTAAAAATCACCAAGTATAGTTTTGGAAATTTAATTCTAAACCTCTAAAACGAAAGAGAAATTTAAATTCCGCAATTTTTCTAAGACTAAAACTATCACAAACACATAGCTGAGTAAACTAGTGATTACCAATCATAATGATATTCCTCCACAGAGTCTTTTCCTCTTGCCATGGGAATATTATTATTTTATTTTTATTTTTATTTTTTTAAAGATAGAGCATCACTGTATCGCCCAGGCTAGAGTGTAGTGGGCAGTGACATGATCTCGGCTCACTGCAGGCTCAACCTCCTGGGCTCAATCCCTCCTCCCAGCTCAGCCTCCCAAGTAGCTCAGACTACAGATGCATGCCACTACACTTAGCTAATTTTTGTAATTTGTTTTTAAGAGACTGGGTCTTTGTTGCCCAAGCTAGTCTCAAACTCCTGGGCTCAAGCAATCCACCCACCTCAGCCTCCCAAAGTGCTGGAATTACAGGCGTGAGATACCACGCCCAGCCTATTCTAGTTATCTTAAGGAGAGACCAAAGACCCAGAGGGCAGAAGATTTATATGGCCAAATATTAGCAAAAACTATATTAATTATTATCTAATTCACACTTATCCTATAATGCAGATAAGCTAATTATTAAGATATTTGTGACAATAAGCAAAATTACTAAGCTAAGCACATTTGTAAAATGTCATATATGCTGAGCAGGAATAAAGCTTCTTCATTTACAAGCTACTATCACAAATACAATACCATGTTTTCTCGGAGGTCTTCATTCTGTGTCATTTGAATAATAGTCTGAAAAAGCCTCGGGTGATATTGAATTAATACTTCACAAGTCTCTCCATATCCACCCTAAAAACAAGATCTAAAATTATCCAGGTTTAAAAACAGTCCCTTTTAAAGTTCATATTCTTCACACAATAAAAATC
The DNA here is from genome assembly GCF_000001405.40 of Homo sapiens. Classification (NCBI taxonomy): domain Eukaryota; kingdom Metazoa; phylum Chordata; class Mammalia; order Primates; family Hominidae; genus Homo; species Homo sapiens. The sequence goes on from NC_000006.12 coordinate 104,796,834, forward strand.
TTTGCACCTACCCTTTCATTGAAAAAATAATAATTTTTACCATTCCAGTTTCTATTATAAAGATAAGGGGCTCAGAATATAAATGAAAAACACACCTGTACACATAAATCCAGAGGAGTTACTCCATTTTTATCTGGCAGATATTTGGCTCCTCGTAATAGTAGGATCTGTGCTGTATCTCTCTGACCATGACTGTGTGGAAATAGAAACAAGTTAAAAATACAATCTTTTTAAAGTCTTTCTCTATGAATTATGGATAGTTAATATGAGTCAATGGAAGAGTATCACTTTTAAAAATTAAGACAAGAGAATATGAAATACATCTTCATAATCACAAAAACTTTCTCAATGTTAAGCCATGCTTTCACTACGTAGACCAGAATGTGACCTATTAAATTTTAGAACTGAATTTGTGTCACATTTCCTAAAATAAGTCATAATATTTTGGGGATAAGTAACTACTAGTCAGGCTTCTGCTTTTTTTTTTTTTCTTACATTCACTTCCTAATCCCTCTCTCCACCTTAACTTGACCATTTGCAACTTTAGCCTGACCTTCTTCCTACCACACACATCCAAGTCTCTAGGCTTCTTAATCCAAAAGAACCTCAAGAGTCAGAACAAAAGTACATTTTATGGCACACTTGTAATACTTTGTAAAAAAAAAAAAAATTAAAAGGAAGGAAGGAGAAAAGTAAAACCAATGTAAGAGAATCTGGGGAAAAAGGGAACATGAAGTGGGGTTATTAGCCAAAAATACTATCTAGCTTTCGATCTTCATTTTATCAACCCACTCAGTTTGGCTTCTGCAGATAGGTATTCAATCTGCCCTAGAATGAACTCTCCTATCCATATGCCTCATTCCCTGATTGCCCTCCTTCTTGTAGAAGTAGAATTGTGTAACTATCACTCCAGGGAAATTAATGTTAACAGCTGATTCTTAAGAAATGCCCAGGGCCAGGCATGGTGGCTCACACCTGTAATCCCAGCACTTTGAGAGGCCGGGGTAGGTGGATCACCTGAGGTCAGGAGTTCCAGACCAGCCTGGCCAACATGGTGAAACCCTGTCTCTATTAAAAATACAAAATTAGCTGGGCATGGTAGCCGGTGCCTGTAATCCCAGCTACTTGGGAGGCTAAGGCAGGAGAATCACTTGAACCCGGGAGGCAGAAGTTGCAGTGAGCCAAGAATGCCCCACTGCACTCCAGCCTGGGTAACAAGAGCAAAACCCCGTCTCGAAAAAAAAAAAAAAGAAAGAAAGAAAGAAAAGAGAAGAAAAGAAATGCCCAAATAAGTTGTACAGTTTGGAAGAGCATGAATCCAAAAAGAACTCTGTAGATGAGAAAAGCAAGTAATCTAAGCACAGGTGAAACTAGAACTCAGGTACCTGGGCTTCTAGACCTATACTCTTTCCACAATAACATTACCTAAAGAGGCATGTCATTTCACAAAGAAAAACACTACACAGATTTCTCAGAAACTTAAAAAACAAAACACTATTCATTCTCTTTCACAAAACGGCACTGTATGAAGAATAATTTAAAACCAATTGGAATTAAAGTTTTTTTAAAAAAAACTTAATAGTATCCTACTACGAATCTAGTGCCAGAAAACTCTGCAACGTTATTATAGGTCTATCACTCTCTTGATACTTTATTATTATACTGATTATCTTCCTTAATACCAATAAGCCCTAACTTAAGAATAATATCTAATTTATTCTAGAAAAATCAAAAAATAAATTAGCAATCCCTTTGAAAGCAACAATAATCAGCTTTACCGGCATCAAGCAAGAAGTCCTCATCAAGCATCACTTGTCATTAAGCTCAAAGTGTTGGTCAAGATGTTATAAACAATAGCTAACAGTGGTTAATGTTTCATTTACACTGTTCCATTCTTTAACACGCCTAAAAATAGAGGCCAAGTGAAAAGCAACTAACTTGAGCTTAATTTATTTAGGGATATAGTGATACTTTTGCTAGTAGCCAAGGTTCTGAGGAATCCATCTTATAAAACTGCTGAGTTCAATTTTAATGATATCTCTTTTACAGTTCTTTAATATCCATGTGTCCAATTTTTTCCAATTAAATTGTAAACTTCCTGACAGTAGGCTTGTTCCATAGCACCAAGCATGGCAGTTGTCTTATAGCATGTACTCAATACATTCAATGAATTGTATTATAGGCTTTAATTTCAGACACCATTCATTTGACAAATAAGTATTAAAGACAACGCTGCACTCTAGAAAATAACAAGAGACCTGAAACACAATTTATTTAGGATATACTAGGTAACAAGCATTATGCTCAATCCTCTGTGCAAAGTCTGACTTAACGGTGACACTGTTATAAGCATTGTTAAATTAAGCAAACAGGAGGCCATTAGCCTGAGACTGTCACTATACTTTTGAGTTCCTCTGTAACAAACTTCAACCTAACTTGGGAGTATATATTTTGCAACAAAGAGCAGTTTCAATGAATCAGACAGCCAATTCTTCACACCATGACCAAATTAGGCAAACACACACATAAGGGTAGTCAGTTGGGTGATTTCTCTACTTTGCTTCCATATTCAGCCTACAAAAGCTCATTACTTACAAATTGCTGGGAAGAGCTCTCTCACCCGCTTCTGATTCTGAGTGCTGCCTGATTCATGAATTGTTTTTCATTTAAATAAACTTTAAATTTATTTTTTCTAAGATTTTTATTTTAACAGTATTCACCCAATTTTTCAGATGAGAAAACCATGGCTCAAGAGTATAATGGAGTTGCTCGAGATGAACAGTTACATGGCAGACCAGAATTTGAATCTGCATCAGTCTGACTCCAAAATCCTTCAACAATATCATGCTGCTCTAGCAAGATAAACAGAGATTGCCCTTTATGTTTTATAACCTTTAAAAGTAAACAATTTAGTCTCAAGACTCCCATTCCAAGATGGCCGAATATGAACAGCTCCGGTCTGCAGCTCCTAGCATGACTGACACAGAAGACGGGTGATTTCTGCATTTCCAAATGAGGTACCTGGTCGATCTCATTGGGACTGGTTGGACAGTAGGTGCAGCCCACGGAGGGTGAGCACCTCACTTGGGAAGCTCAAGGGGTCAGGGGATTTCCCTTTCCTAGCCAAGGGAAGCCGTGACAGACTACCTGGAAAAACGGGACACTCCTGCCAAAATACGGCGCTTTTCCCAAGGTCTTAGTAAACGACACACCAGGAGATTCCATCCCGTGCCTGGCTCAGCGGGTCCCATGCCCACAGAGCCTTCCTCACTGCTAGCGCAGCAGTCTGAGATAGTCCTGCCAGGCTGCATGCAGCCTGGCGGGGGTAGGGGCATCTGCCATTACTGGGGCTTGAGTAGGTAAACAAAGCGACAGGGAAGCTCAAACTAGGCGGAGCCCACTGCAGCTCAGCAAGGCCTACTGCCTCCATAGACTCCACTTCTGTGGGCAGGGCATAGCTGAAAAAAAGGCAGCAGATAACTTCTGCAGACTGAAATGTCACTGTCTGACAGCTCAGAAGAGAGCAGTGGTTCTCCCACCACAGCCTTTGAGCTCTGAGAACGGACAGACTGCCTCCTCAAGTGGGTCCCTGACCCCTGTGTAGCCTAACTAGGAGACACCTCCTAGTAGGGGCAACAGACACCTCATATAGGCGGGTGCCCCTCTGGGATGAAGCTTCCAGAGGAAGGAACAGGCAGCAATATTTGCTGTTCTGCAGCCTCTGCTGGTGATACCCAGGCAAACAGGGTCTGGAATGGACCTCCAGGAAACTCCAACAGACCTGCAGCTGAGGGACCTGACTGTTAGAAGGAAAACTAAGAAAGGAGTAGCATCAACATCAACAAAAAGGACATCCACAACAAAACTTAATCTGTAGGTAACCAACATCAAAGACCAAAGGTAGACAAAACCACAAAGATGGAGAGAAACCAGAGCAGAAAAGCCGAAAATTCTAAAAACCAGAGCACCTCTTCTCCTCCAACTGCTCACAGCTCCTTGCCAGCAATGGAACAAAGTTGGATGGAGAATGACTTTGACGAGTTCACAGAAGTAGGCTTCAGAAGGCTGGTAATAACAACTTCTCCGAGCTAAAGGAGGATGTTCTAACCCATCACAAGGAAGCTAAAAACCTTGAAAAAAGGTTAGACGAATGGCTAACTGGAATAAATAGTGTAGAGAAGATCTTAAATGACCTGATGGAGCTGAAAACCATGGCTAGAGAACTTCATAATGCATGCACAAGCTTCAATAGCCGATTCGATCAAGTGGAAGAAAGGATATCAGTGATTGAAGATCAAATTAATGACATAAAGTGAAAAGACAAGATTAGAGAAAAAAAGAGCAAAAAGAAATGAACAAAGCCTCCAAGAAATATGGGACTATGTGAAAAGACCAATCTATGTTTGATTGGTGTACCTGAAAGTGTCAGGGAGAATGGAACCAAGTTGGAAAACACTCTTTAGGATATTATCCAGGAGGACTTCCCCAACCTAGCAAGGCAAGCCAACATTCAAATTCAGGAAATACAGAGAACGCCACAAAGATGCTCCTCAAGAAGAGCAACCCCAAGACACATAACTGTCAGATTTATCAAGGTTGAAATGAAGGAAAAAATATTAAGGGCAGTCAGAGAGAAAGGTCAGTTACCCACAAAGGGAAGCCCATCAGACTAACAGCGGATCTCTCGGCAGAAACTCTACAAGCCAGAAGAGAGTGGGGGCTAATATTTGACATTCTTAAAGAAAATAATTTTCAACTCAGAATTTCATATCCAGCCAAACTAAGCTTCACAAGTGAAGGAGAAATAAAATCCTTTACAGACATGCAAATGCCGAGAGATTTTGTCACCACCAGGCCTGCCTTACAAGAGCTCCTCCTGAAGGAAGCACTAAACATGGAAAGGTACCAGCCATGGCAAAAACATGCCAAATTGTGAAGACCATCAATGCTATGAAGAAACTGCATCAATTAACGGGCAAGATAACCAGCTAACATAATGACAGGATCAAATTCACACATAACAATATTAACCTTAAATGTAAATGGGCTAAATGCCCCAATTAAAAGACAGACTGGTAAACTGGATAAAGAGTCAAGACCCATCAGTGTGCTGTATTCAGGAGACCCATCTCACCTGCAGAAACACACATAGGCTCAAAATAAAGGGATAGAGGAAGATCTACCAAGCAAACGAAAAGCCAAAAAAAAAAAAAAAAAAGCAGGGGTTGCAATCCAGGTCTCTGATAAAACAGACGTTAGACGAAGGAAGATCAAAACAGACAAGGAAGGACATTACATAATGGTAAAGGAATCAATGCAACAAGAAGAGCTAACTATCCTAAATATATATGCACTCAACACAGGAGCACGCAGACTCATAAAGCAAGTCCTTAGAGACATACAAAGAGACTTAGACTCCCACACAATAATAATGGGAGACTTAAACACCCCACTGTCAATAATAGACAGATCAACATGACAGAAGGCTAACAAGGATATCCAGGAATTGAACTCAGCTCTGGACCAAGTGGACCTAATAGACATCTACAGAACTCTCCACCCCAAATCAACAGAATATACATTCTTCTCAGCACGACATCACACTTATTCTAAAATTGACCACATAATTCGAAGTAAAGCACTCCTCAGCAAATGTAAAAGAACAGAAATCACAAACTGTCTCTCAGAGCACAGTGCAATCAAACTAGAACTCAGGATTAACAAACTCATTCAAGACTGCACAACTACATGGAAACTGAACAACCTGCTCCTGAATGACTATTGGGTAAATAACGAAATGAAGGCAGAAATAAAGATGTTCTTTGAAACCAATGAGAACAAAGACACAACATACCAGAATCTCTGGGACACATTTAAAGCAGTGTGTAGAGGGAAATTTATAGCACTAAATGCCCACAAGAGAAAGCAGAAAGATCTAAAATCGACACCCTAACAGCACAATTAAAAGAACTAGAGAAGCAAGAGCAAACACATTCAAAAGCTAGCAGAAGGCAAGAAATAACTAAGATCAGAGCAGAACTGAAGGAAATAGAGACACAAAAAACCCTTCAAAAAATCAATGAATCCAGGAGCTGGTTTTTTGAACACAGCAACAAAATGGCTACACTGCTAGCAAGACTAATAAAGAAGAAGAGAGAGAAGAATCAAACAGACACAATAAGAAGTGATAAAGGGGGTATCACCACCAATCCTACAGAAATACAAACTACCATCAGAGAATACTATAAACACCTCTATGCAAATAAACTAGAAAATCCAGAAGAAACGAATAAATTGGACTAAACCAGGAAGAAGTTGAATCTCTGAACACACCAATAATAGGCTCTGAAATTGAGGCAATAATTAATAGCCTACCAACCAAAAAAAGTCCAGGAACAGACGGATTCACAGCCGAATTCTACCAGAGGTACAAAAAGGAGCTGGTACCATTCCTCTGAATGGCTGATACCATTCCTTCTGAAACTATTCCAATCAATAGAAAAAGAGGGAATCCTCCCTAACTCATTTTATGAGGACAGCATCATCCTGATACCAAAGCCTGGCAGAGACACAACAAAAAAAGAGAATTTTAGACCAATATCCTTGATGAACATTGATGCAAAAATCCTCAATAAAATACCAGAAAACCAAATGCAGCAGCATATCAAAAAGCTTATCCACCACGATCAAGTCGGCTTCATCCCTGGGATGCAAGGCTGGCTCAACATATGCAAATCAATAAACGCAATCCATCACATAAAAAGAACCAACGGCAAAAACCACATGATTATCTCAATAGATGCAGAAAAGGCCTTCGACAAAATTCAACAGCCCTTCATGCTAGAAACTCTCAATAAACTAGGTATTGATGGAACGTATCTCAAAATAATAAGAGCTATTTATGACAAACCCACAGCCAATATCATACTGAATGGGCAAAAACTGGAAGCATTCCCTTTGAAAACCGACACAAGAGAAGGATGCCGTCTCTCACCACTCCTATTCAATGTAGTGTTGGAAGTTCTAGCCAGGGCAATCAGGCAAGAGAAAGAAATAACAGTATTCAATTAGGAAAAGAGGAAGTCAAACTGTCCCTGTTTGCAGATGACATGATTGTATATTTAGAAAACCACATCGTCTCAGCCCAAAATCTCCTTAAGCTGATAAGCAACTTCAGCAAAGTCTCAGGATACAAAATCAATGGGCAAAAATCACAAGCATTCTTATACACCAATAACAGACAAACAGAGAGCCAAATCATGAGTGAACTCCCATTCACAATTGCTTCAAAGAGAATAAAATACCTAGGAATCCAACTTACAAGGGATGTGAAGGACCTCTTCAAGGAGAACTACAAACCACTGCTCAACCAAATAAAAGAGGACACAAACAAATGGAAGAACATTCTATGCTCATGGATAGGAAGAATCAATATCGTGAAAATGGCCATACTGCCCAAGGTAATTTACAGATTCAATGCCATCCCCATCAAGCAACCAATGACTTTCTTCACAGAATTGGAAAAAACTACTTTAAAGTTCATATGGAACCAAAAAAGTGCCCTCATTGCCAAGACAATCCTAAGCAAAAAGAACAAAGCTGGCAGCATCATGCTACCTGACTTCAAACTATACTACAAGGCTACAGTAACCAAAACAGCATGGTACTGGTACCAAGAGATATAGACCAATGGAACAGAATAGAGCCCTCAGAAGTAACACCACACATCTATAACCATCTGATCTTTGACAAACCTGACAACAAGAAATAGGGAAAGGATTCCCTATTTGATAAATGGTGCTGGGAAAACTGGCTAGCCATATGTAGAAAGCTGAAACTGGATCCCTTCCTTACACCTTATACAAAAATTAATTCAGGATGGATTAAAAACTTAAATGTAAGACCTAAAGCCATAAAAACCCTAGAAGAAAACCTAGGCAGTACCATTCAAGACATAGGCATGTGTAAAGACTTCATGACTAAAACACCAAATGCAATGGCAACAAAAGCCAAAACAGACAAATGGGATCTAATTAAACTAAAGAGCTTCTGCACAGCAAAAGAAACTACCATCAGAGTGAACAGGCAACCTACAGAATGGGAGAGAATTTTTGCAATCTACTCATCTGACAAAGGGCTAATATCCAGAATCTACAATGAATTCAAACAAATTTACAAGAAAAAACAAACAACCCCATCAAAATTGGGCAAAGGATATGAACAGACACTTCTCAAAAGAAGACAATTATGCAACCAACAGACATGAAAAAATGCTCATCGTCACTGGTCATTAGAGAAATGCAAATCAAAACCACAGTGAGATACCATCTCACGCCAGTTAGAATGGCGATCATTAAGAAGTCAAGAAACAACAAGTGCTGGAGAGGATGTGGAGAAATAGGAATGCTTTTACACTGTTGGTGGGAGTGTAAATTAGTTCAATCATTGTGGAAGACAGTGTGGTGATTCCTCCAGGATCTATAACTAGAAATACATTTGACCCAGCCATCCCATTACTGGGTATATACCCAATGGATTATAAATCATGCTACTATAAAGACACATGGATACATATGTTTATTGCAGTACTATTCACAATAGCAAAGACTTGCAACCAACCCAAATGTCCATCCGTGATAGACTGGATTAAGAAAATGTGGCACAGATACACCATGGAATACTATGCAGCCATAAAAAAGGAGGAGTTCATGTCCTTTGCAGGGACACAAATGAAGCTGGAAACCATCATTCTCAGCAAACCATCCCAAGGACAGAAAACTAAACACCGCATGTTCTCACTCATAGGTGGGAATTGAACAATGAGAACACTTGGACACAGGGCAGCGAACATCACACACCAGGGCTTGTCGGGAAGTCAGGGGGCTGGGGGAGGGATAGCATTAGGAGAAACACCTAATGTAAATGACGAGTTGATGGGTGCAGCAAACCAACATGGCACATGTATACCTATGTAACAAACCCGCACGTTGTGCACATGTACCCTGGAACTTAAAAGTATAATAATAATAAAACAAAAAAAAACAATTTAGTACTCAAAAAAATTATGGTATCATACACAGGAGGATATGTGCTATGAGAACAATGGACTGGGGATCAGACAGGATGAACAGACAAGATCACCATGTATAAGCAGGACAATGTTCAATACACAAGGTAAATAATAAAGCCTCAAAATAACTCTGTACCATATATAACAAAAAAGGATAATCAGCATGAAGAAAAAGAAATACTACTATAACATTTTTAGAAAGCTGGAGTAATTTCTAAAACCACACAGAAATCTCATTTATGTTCAGTTGGCATTTCATTTCAAAAACAGATTAAGGGCCAGGTGTCGTGGCTCACATCTGTAATCTCAGCACTTTGGGAGGCTTAGACTGGAGAATCACTTGAGGCCAGGCGTTGAAGACCCGCTTGGATGACATACCTTGACTTTATTAAAAATAAAAATTGAAAAATTAGTTCAGTATGGTGGTGCACATCTATAGTCCCAGCTACTTGGGAGGCTGAGATGAGAGAATTGCTTGACCCAAGGAGTTGGAGGTTGCAGTGAGTTATGATCACGCCACTGCACTCCAGCCTGGGTGGCAGAACAAGACCCTGTCTCTAAAAACTAATAATTTAAAATAAGAATAATTTTTTAAATAGATTTAAAAACAATAAATAGCTAATAACATACAAAATCTGCACAACGCAGTTAGGGGCTCAAGTGCCTCACCTGTAATTCAATTACAACGATCCTCTTTCAGACTGCTCAGAGTGTTGCATAAAAGATTTTTCAGTTTAAATAACTAAAAAAAATTACTCAACAAATAATCATTCTTTATAAATGAAGTTGTTTTTGAGATAGTCTCAATTTTTTAATATTGATTGAGATAATACTCTCTTCAAGAAATTGCCAATGTATTTTATGAAAACTAAGAAGTCAACAAAAATTTAACTAATAAGAAACTTGTGGTGGCTTCTAAAGCACTTAGACCTGATTTCTCAAACACTTTCGGCCCCCTAACTTTGGACTCTTTCATCCTTATAAATTTGAGAATTTGGCATAAGTATAAATAGTCCAGACAGTTGTAATATTATTGGGAATGGCGTATGAAACAGATCATATTTTCTAAAGGTCCGTTCCTATGCTGAAAGTTTACAATTTTAAGTGTAAGAATTCTTTTTTTTTTTTTTTTTTTCTTGAGATGGAGTCTCACTCTGTTGCCCAGGCTGGAGTGCAGTGGTGCAATCTCGGCTCACTGCAACCTCCGCCTTTCAGATTCAAGTGATTCTCCTGCCTCAGCCTCTGGAGTAGCTGAGACTACAGGCGTGCGCCACAATGCCCAGCTAATTTTTGTATTTTTAGTAGAGACGGGGTTTCACCATGTTGGCCAGGATGGTCTCAATCTCTTGACCTCGTGATCCACCCGCCTCAGCCTCCCAAAGTGCTGGGATTACAGGTGTGAGCCACTGTGCCTGGCCAAGTCTAAGAACTCTTTTATATGGCTACTTTGATTTTGAATACTCTAACTGAAACGAGTTGCTTCGCAGTAGCTACAAATCCATGTTCTAAATCTTAGCCCTTTCTGTCTCTAGTAGAGACCTCTAAAACTCCATTAACATCTTACTAATTTACTGTATCTATACAACTCTAACTAAACCTTGCTTTTCCTAATAGAATAAAAGTTATCTACAAACAGAAAATACCTGAAAACCATTATACATCCCAACCTTTATTTGAAGAACTCAGTTGAAGGAACTGAGAACATAAGGATTGAATATAAAACCAATCTAATAATTTCAGGATTTGAAATATTGGTAGAAGTCATATAAAAGACTTAAAGGTGTGTAAAGATGGCAGGGGGAAAAAAAAATCAATGTGTGCCTATATTTTACATGACAGAAGGAATGAGTTAATTAGTTATATAGTTTACATGAGTTATAATGTCCTGTCCAGAGTATCCAGAGAAGAAAACTGGCTGGAAAACCCTTTCTATCATAATTTTAGGTCAAAATCCATCTGAAAAAGACTCACAGAAACACTACATTATAAAACAGTGCCCAGGGCCAGGCACGGTGGCTCACGTCTGTAATCCCAGCACTTTGGGAGGATGAGACAGCCAGATCACCTGAGGTCGGGAGTTCGAGACCAGCCCAGGCAACATGGCAAAACGCCATCTCTACTAAAATATAAAAATTAGCTGGGTGTGGTGGCGCATGCCTGTAATGCCAGCTACTCGGGAGGCAGAGGCAGGAGAATCGCTTGAAGCCAGGAGGCAGAGATTGCAGTGAGCCAAGATCACGCCACTGCACTCCACCCTGGGCAACAGATTGAGGCTCTGTCTCAAAAATTAAAAAAAAAAAAAGTGCTTAGAATTAGACAAGAAACAAAAGAAAACCCTGTAGAGCAATTAAATTAAATGAGGACAACACGACTTTATGCTCACTGAAGAGTGAAAGAAGTATGTCAGAACTTAGTGAGCACCTATCAACTACTAAGTGTTGAATACTCTGCAGCATGCTTTATAGAAGCCATCACATTTAATCTTCACAATAATCTCACCAGGCAGATATCAGCACTTCCATTTCACAAACAAACAAAGCTTCAGGGATCAAGAATTTTGACTAATGTTGTATAGCTCTGGTGCTGGGATTTGAACCTGCCTACACAAACTAGGTTCTTTCCCCTGTATCTTAATACCATTCTAAATTTAATTGCAAAATTCAAATACAAAGAAAACAGTTTCAGTAGTTGACCCTTGAATATGATATAATATATTATATCTAGTAATACTTATCAACCAATAAAAACTATACATTCCATTTAACCTTTATCTTAGAGCCCTATAATTTGTCCTGGGGTTAACTTGTTCTATTTCCTATATTCCTTTCCCTTTCATTTATCAGAAATAACACATTGGGAATAACTTATATTTTTAATTTATACCTGTATCAAGATATCACAAGTAAAATTAAAAGTGTGCCTGCAGAAGAACCATGTTCCATATCTATTATTCTTCTACAACAATGATTTTTTGGTTTCACATTTCATCACAGACTTGCTTAACCATCTTTGTTCAAAAAGATCTAATATTTGCTAGATTAAAACTAAATGATGGGAATACAGTACTAGGAGAAAGTATTTCTTAAAAATCCTTCTGCCATATCCCTAAGCTCAGACTAACCATAGGGATATCCCAGTTCTGCACAACACTAACATGTCTCTATTTTAACTATTATAAATGGCATTGTTTTTTATAAGATATTTTTCATAGTGATGCATTCATTCAAAAACATCTACTATGCATCTAAGTGCAAAACACTGTACTACACTTTGGACATAAAGTGGTAAAATAAACACTATTCTTGCTTTCACTGAATTTTTAGGCATGTAGGGGAGACAGACTATAAGAAAGTAAATAAACAACTACAGAATAGGAAGTGCTATGAAGGAAATGACTGTGATACTGCGATCAAAAATCTGGGGAACGACCTGCTTAGATTGGTCAGGAACTGCCTTCCTAAAAAGTTACTTAATTAAGCAGTAACATGAATAAGAAATAGCCCTGTAAAAAGCCTAAGGAAGAACATTTCAGGCAAAACAAATACCATGTAGAAAAGCCTGCTGAAAGAGTTGGTTGCATTTAAGGAACGCAAAGAGAATCACTGTGGTTCAAGTACAGTGAGCTAAACAGGAGTGAAATCATGGAGGTCTCACAGGCCAAGGTAGAACTTGAATTATATTTAAAATGTAACAACGAGGCACTGAAAAGTTTTATATACAAGGCTTAAACACAAAGTAACAAGAGCAGATTCTTTTTTTTTTTTTTTTTTAAGATCACTTTGCTGAGGAAAGAAGAGATTGGAGGGAAACAACATAGGAATCAGGGAGACCAGTGAAGAGATTACTGCAGTACTCTAGGCAAAAGGTAACAACATTAAGGTGGTTTTGGTTGAGTTAGAAGTTCAGATTCCGAACATATTCTGAAGGTAGAATTTACAGAACTTACTAATAAATTCCAAGTTCACAAAGAGAGAGAGAGAGAAATAAAAAATAACCTAATTATTTCTAATTTAAACAACTGAGACAATAAGGTTTCTATTGATTAAGATGAGGAAAAACTGGGGGAAAGGTTTGAGGAAGAAAATCTGAAGCTGTATTTTGACATGTTAATATGTGAGATTCTGTGGTACTTCTAAGTGATGATGTTAAACAGGCAGATGGACATTCAAATCTGGAGGTTCAAAAAAGGTCTGATCTAAAGATAACCCTTCAAGATACAACATGATTACAGGGAATCAAATGATGATATTATTCATAAATTCAGGACACTATGGAAAGAACTGGTTTTCTAGCCAAGCAACCAAATCATAAATATAATGCAAGAAAATGGCTGGAATCAGAAAGATCTGGAAGTCTAGAAACCCAGAAGCCCCTGAATTCTAATACAGGGTTGTTAAATAGATGATCTGAATTGGTCTCATCAAAGGCACATCAGAGACCCCAACAAGAAGCTAAACAAGAAAAAAAGCAGGTCTTTCAACCTAAAACCAACTTCCAATAAAATGATATAAAACAGAAAAAAAGAAGAAGAGAGGAGCTTTCTGGAGAGCTCTATATCGGAATATGAAGGCCTAAATAAATATTACAATTCATATAATTTAAATCAAAAAGAAGAATTACTATAGTATTCTATAACTACATTTACATAATACATAATATGTAGGTGTGTATATATTTTTACATATGTGTGTGGGTGTGGGTGTGACGGCATGTGTATAATTATACTGATAGCTCCTTAGGGAATAGAGTTTATTTATTACTGTATTACACACCTACAACAATGCATGACACAGTGAGCGTTAACTAAACATTTGCCGAATACATGAATAAGTGAACAAAATGTACACGTCAAGAAAATGAACCAATAAAGAAATACAAAAATAACTTAATGTATAACAATATCTAACAAGACTGACTCAAGATTTTTTTTTGGTTATAGATACAGAGAAAGAAAAGACATGGCTCTGGATCAAGATATATTCCAACAGCTTATCCCACTGGAAATGACCTGGTTACATAACACAGTAAACGATGGGAATTACCAGATTACTGATTTATCTTTTGTTAATAAGTACTTAGTCTAAAATTGAAGTAATCAAGCAAATCAAAAGCTCCACATGTAACATAAAAGCAATGGCAATTAAATATAACAGAAAATACTTTTCCTCATACAGTTAAGTAATAGAACCATAACACTTCATCTTAAAAAAGAGATTGTACTTCCTCTTAAAAGACAGCATATTTGTGGGAAAACAAGAGAGCTTTAGAAAATACACAGAAACGTGTGTGTCTAGAAATAGAGTATTATATACATCTGGAAATATATATATTTCTTTATTTATACATATATATATATATATATATATATATGAGCATATATAGCATCTGGAAATATAAAATATCATACCTGCAAGCAAAGTACAATGGAGTTGCTCCTGATACATTTGGCCTGTTAATATCAGCACCACTGTCTAGCAAGCACTGCACTGTCTGAGGGGGAAAAAATAATTAAAAGTAAAGCCAGAGGAATCAAACAAAAGATACAATTACCACAATTTTAATCCATATAAGGGAAGTTCTTCCCACAACTTGAAGCTTTACATAGGAACTGAGTGGGCACGTGACAATTACTATGGCTGAGCAAATTCAACTTTTTGTAAGCTCTAAGTGTCTCAGGCACAACACACATATATGTGGAATTATCAGTGTAATAGAAACTGTGTTAATCTGGGAGTCTTTAGAGCAGCACTGTATCAAAAGTAGTCAGTAGTTACATATTGGCTACCAAGTACTTGAAATGTGGCTAGTACAGCTAAGGAACTAAAATTTTAATTGTATTTAATTATAGCTCATTTGAATCTAAATAGCCACATGTGGCTAGTGAATTGGACCCTATTGCTTTAGATACTTGAATTTAAATTGCTTTAAATACCAGAATTTTTCACCTCTAAAAAACTAAGCACCAGAATAATAACTTTCCCAAAGTCAAGAGCATAATTATTAAAATATAAAATTTTAAAAAGCTAAGAAGCCCTTTTGCTATTAACAGTAGCATATACAGGCTCAATTTCACTGATTGCCATTAATATATACTTAGCCCCCTAAGCTCTACTCCTCTAATCATTTGACTCATACTAAGAGAGAGTACGCTACTATAAAATCTTAAAAATACATATCTGTTGATTAAGGACAGGACAGGGCCCAGTTGAAAACCTTTAAAAAAAAAAACTTTCATGGTTTTATTCCTAAAATCCTCATTTGAGTTTTTCCTGCAAAAAGGAAGAAAATGTAAAAACATAAAACATGAGGCAATAGGTGGCTTGAGGCCAGTAGTTTGAGACCAGTTTAGTCTACATAGTGAGACCCCATTTTTACAAAAACATTAAAAAATGAGCTAGTCATGGCAGCACATCATAGTAGTAGGCCTAGCTACTCAGGAGGCTGAGGTGGGAGGATCATTTGAGCCCAGGAGTTCAAGGCTACTATGAATTATATTACACCACTGCACTCCAGCTTGGGCAACAGAGAAAGACCCCATGCCTTAAAAAAAAACAAAATAGTTTGAAATTAGACGCTTATTACTTCTGGATTGAACACATCTGTTCATCTTTTTTGCCGCTTTTAAACAAAGTACAATGTCAGTAAAATAATAAAACTAAACACCCAAAGGAAGAACAAGAAAGAAAACAACAGCATACTGGATAAGTCAGTAAGTTTTGGAAAGATAGCAAGCAAATGGAGAAATAGTAACTGACTTAGCAGATCAAAGAAAGCTGAAGTCTAACTGCCCACAAATGGGGATTCCAACAATAAGCAACTCAATTCTTACTACAGAACACACACATTAAGAAAACAAAAAAGGAATAGAGGAATTGGAAGTACCAGGTACCTTGGAATATAGGAATGGTTATGTAGAGCTAAAAATAGGAGGAATAGTTGAAAGTCAATAGAAGAAACAGACTCTCCCCCTAGGACCTTTCTTCCCATCCTATCCAGTTAGTTACTATCCCTCTTTACACTGTCTCAGAAGATGGGAAGTTTATTCTCTGCACAAAGTGAACAGGGAGGCTCTGGACTGGGAGACAAGACACACAGGTAGAGCAAAGATGAGGAGCCATCGTGAAAACAACAAATTAAGTGAAAACCTCCAGCCTCCATGTTCCAACTAGGCTCCCAGAAATCCAGCAGGCAGGCTTAAAAATCTCAAGTAGAAGGAATTAAAAGCTTCCTCTCAAGACTTGCATCAGAAAAGAATCTTACAGATATTGGCATTAGAAAGTCCCCAGTGAAACAGCTCAGTTCATCCAGACATGGTGGCTCATGCCTGTAATTCTAAGACTTTGGAAAACCAAGGTGGAAAGATCATTTAAGGCCAGGAGTTCAAGACCAGCCTAGGCAATTTAGAGAGATCCCATTTCCACAACAAAATTTTAAAATTAGCCATGCATGGTGCTGCATGCAAGACGCTATCTGTAAAGCAAGACCCTATCTCTAAAAAGAAACAAAAATTAAAAATAAAGAAACAGCCCAATTCGGGACAATGGGTCTATAGCAGTCATCCCCAACCAAGGTTAAATTTTCCCCTGGGAACATGAGGCAACTTTTTTATTTTCATGACCAGGGAAGGGAAAATGCTATTGGCAGCTAGTGGGTAGAGGTCAGGGATGCAGCTAAATATCCTAAAATTCAGATGACAGCCCCCACAACAAAGAATTATCAGATCCAAAATATCAACAGTGTTGAGACCAAGAAACATTGGTGTACAGTCAAACCAAGTAGTCAACAAACTCAACTCATGTACACAACGCTTCCAGCCAACATTTGAGTGCCTCACCATTACACATGAATGAACAGACAATATTAAAAATACAACTGAAGCAGGCCTCTAACCTGAAAAACAAAAATTACAACTGAAAAATGAAACTCAGAATAACAAAGACAGTAAAGGGAACCAAAGAAAACAACAAAAATTAGAAAAGTAACTGATAACCTCGAACAGAAAAGAAATTATACCATGGAATGATAAAAGGATGTTGGGTAGAAAATATTTAGGAAATGAGAAATCAAAAATACAATGCAATAAATAAAAATTCAACAGAAGTTTAAAAAGAAAATGTTCAGGAATTCTACAAAGTAGAATAAAAAGACAAAGTAGAAAATAGGAAAGATGAGAAAATTTGTGAATCAATCAAGGGAGACATACTGCAGAAAATAAGAATAAAGAAAAGAAAGGGGGTGAGGGACCAAAGGGGAATAACCAAGAAATAATACCAAAAAAGTTCCCAGAACTGAAAGACATCAGGTGCCAGGTTTAAAAGGCTCAACACGTGTCTAGTCTATTAAATCAAAAGACCTTCAACGAGGCATGTCAAAGTGAAATTTCATGATAACATCAGGGATAAGAGATTCCAGAGATAAACAGAAATCATGTGGGCATTAAAACTTCTCAACAGCAACACAGAAATCTAAAAGGTAAAAAGCCTTCAAAATTGTAAGATAAATTATATGCAGAATTCTATAGCCAACTACACTATTATTCAAATAGATGGTTATAAATAAAAAACATGTTTAACTATTTTATAAGATTTTTTAAATTATCTTCAATGCACCTTTTCTCAAGAAGCTACTGAAGCATATCCTCCTCCAAAGAAAGAGAATAAACCATAATAGAAGATATGGAATCTAGAATATGGAGATCAAACATGGGAGAGACACTAAGATTATTTCTAGGTTTAGAGGGTGATATGGGTTGGATTTGTGTCCCTGCCAAAATCTCCTGTTGAATTGGAGGAGGGACCTGGTGAGAGGTGACCAGAGCATGGGAGCAGATTTCCCCCTTGCTGCTCTCATGAGAGCTCATGGTTTAAAAGTGTGTGGCACATCCCCCCTCACGCTCTTTCTCCCTCTCTCCTGCCACCATCTGAAGAAGATGCTTGCTTCCCCCTTTGCCTTCCACCATGATTGTAAGTTTCCTGAGGCCTCACAGTCATGCTTCCTGTTAAGCCAGCAGAACTCTGAGTCAATTAAACATCTTTTCTTCACAAATTACTCAGTCTCAAGTAGTTCTTTATATCAGTGTGAAAAATTGACTAATATAGAAAATCAGTACCAGGAGTGGGACACTCCTATAAAGACACTTGAAAATGTGGAAGCGACTTTGGAACTGGGTAAGGGGCAGAGGTTGGAACAGTTTGGAGGGCTCTGAAGAAGACAGTAAGATGTGGGAAAGTTTGGAACTTCCCAGAGACTTGTTGAATGGTTTTGATCAAACTGCTGATAGTGATATGGACAATGACGTCCAGGCTGAGGTGATCTCAGATGGAGATGAGGAACTTATTGGCAACTGGAGTAAAGATCACTCTTGCTATGCTTTAGCAAAAAGAAACTGGAAGCATTTTGCCCCTGCCCTAGAGATCTGTGAAACTTTAAACTTGAAAGAGATGAATTAGGGTATCTGGTGGAAGAAATTTTTTTTTTTTTTTGACACAAAGTCTCACTCTGTCTCCTAGGCTGGAGTGTAATGGCATGATCTCAACTCACTGCAACCTCCACCTCCCAGGTTCCAGTGATTCTCCCGCCTCCCAGGTAGCTGGGATTATAGGCGTGCGCCACCACACCCAGCTAATTTTTTCTGTTTTTAGTAGAGATGGGGTCTCACCCTGTTGGCCAGGCTGGTCCTTAAGTCCTGATCTCAAGTGATCCACCCACCTTGGCCTCCTAAAGTGCTGGGATTACAGGCCTGACCCAGCACACCCAGACTATGGTGGAAGAAATTTCTAACCAGCAAAGCATTCAAGATGTGACCTGGCTTATTCTGAAAGCATTCACTTACATGCATTCACAAAGAGATGGTTTGAAATTGGAATATGTTTAAAAGGGAAACAGAGGGCCAGGCACAGTGGCTCACGCCTGTAATCCCAGCACTTTGGGAGGCTGAGGCGGGCAGATCACCTGAGGTCAGGAGTTTGAGACCAGCTTGGCCAATATGGTGAATCCCCATCTCTACTATAAATATAAAAATTAGCCAGGCGTGGTGGCAGGGACCTGTAATTCCAGCTACTCGGGGGGCTGAGGCAGGAGAATTGCTTGAACCCAGGAGGCGGAGATTGCAGTGAGCCGAGATCACTGCATTGCACTCCAGCCTGGGCGACAAGAGCAAAACTACAACTCAAAAAAAAAAAAAGAGGAAACAGAACACAAAGTTTGGAAAATGTGCAGCCTGACCATGCAGTAGAAAACAAAAACCCATTTTCTGGGGAGAAATTCAAGCCAGCTGCAGAAGTGTACATAAGTAACAAGGAGCTGAATGTTAATAACCAAGACAACAGGAAAAATGTCTCCAGGGCATGTCAGAGACCTTCACTGCAGCCCCACATGTCAGAGGCCTGGAGGCCTAGGAGGGGAAAATGGCTTCACAGGCCGGACCCAGGGCCCCACTGCTCTGTGCAGCTTCGGGACTTAGTGCTCTGTGTCCCAGATGCTCCAGCTCCAGCTCCAGCCATGGCTAAAAGGGGCAAAGGTACAGCTCAGGCCACTGCTTTAGAGGGTGCAAGCCCAAGCCTTGAAGCTTCCACGTGGTGTTGGGCCTGCAGGTGTGCAGAAGGCAAGAGATGAGGTTTTGAAACCTCTGCCTAGATTTCAGAGAATGTATGGAAATGCCTGGCTGTCCAGGAAGAAGTCTGCTGCAGGAGTAGAGCCTTCATGGAGAACCTCTACTAGGGCAGTGCAGACAGGAAATGTGGAGTTAGAACCCCATACAGGGCACTGTCTAGTAGAGCTGTGAGAAGAGGGCCACCACCCCCCAGACCCAACAATAGGAGACCCACTGACAGCTTGCATAGTGCACCTGAAAAAGCCACACGTACTCAATGTCAGCCTGTGGAAGCAGTCTAGGGGGCTGTACCCTGCTGAGCCACAGGGGTGGAGCTACCCAAGGCCTCAGGATCCCAACCCATGCATCAGTGTGCCCTGGATATGAGACACGGAGTCAACGGAAATTATTTTAGAGCTTTAAGATTTAATGACAGCCCTGCTAGGTTTCAGACTTGCATGGGGCCTGTAGCCTTTGTGTTTTGGCCAATTTCTCCCACTTGGAGCATTCACTCAATGCCTGTACCCCCACTGTATCTTGGAAGTAACTAACTTGTTTTTGATTTTACAGGCTCATAGGCAGAAGGGACTTATCTGTCTCAGATGAGACTTTGAACTGTGGACTTCTGAGTTAATGCTGAAATTAGTTAAGACTGGAGGACTGTTGAGAAGGGATAATTGTATTTTCCAATACGAGAAGAACATGAGATTTGGGAGGGGTTAGGGGTGGAATGATATGGTTTGGATTTGTGTCCCCGCCAAATCTCACGTCAAATTGGAAGAGAGGTCTGGGGGGAGGTGACTGGATCATAGGGGCAAATTTCTCCCTTGCTGCTCTTGTGATAGTGAATGAGTTCTCACAAGTCCTGTAGGTTTAAAAGTGTGTGGCACTTCCCCCTTGCACACACTCTCTCTCTCCTGCTGCCATGTGAAGAAGCTGTCTGATTCCCCTTAACCTTCCACCATGATTGTAAGTTTCCTGAGGCCTTCCAGTCATGTTTCCTGTTAAGCCTGCAGAACTGTGAGTCAATTAAAACTCTTTTCTTCATAAATTACCCAGCCTCAGGTAGTTCTTTATATCAGGTAAAATGAATTAATATAGAGGAGAAAGAAAGATGGAACTGATAAACTATCCAATGAATCTGTCTTTGTAGAAGAGAGTAGGAAGAGATATTTTATAGGAGCATATAGATGAAGAAACGCTGATTCATACAAAGAAAACTGAGCAAACCCAATTATTAACTTCAAGAAAAACAGCCATCCTCAAAAAAGAACGTTATTACAGTTCACTACTTGACTGAGCAGTAAACAATACCTTCTTAACTATATATAACCAATACTGTCTAATCAAAACTTATAAATCATCATTTACCATAACAAGAAATGATTAAATAATATCTAAAAGTCATAAACTGAGAAAGAGCCATGGAAGCTTGTTATTTGGAAATACATATTAAAGGAAAAGTTTAGAAAGTTGAAAATTGTTGCCTCTGGTGATCATGACTTAACAAAGAGGAAGGGTGGTTTAAGGGACTAGCATTCTTATCAGAAGATTTTAATACTAATAAAATATTTTTAAGACATAGTATTCACATGTCTATTTAAATTTACTTCTACCCCAACATGAATTCTATAATCTATGTAATAAAAACACTGTTATATAAAACTATATTATAATCTATGTAATTCCTCTAAACTGAAAACAAGTAGTCAACTATAGCTTTCAAATATAAGAAAAACAAGTATTTCAGTCACTATTTTATAAGAGAAGGACTACGTGGGCCTTCTAATCATGGCTTTCCTCTGATCATTGACCTAGAAGTGGTGTCTGTAAGGTCCCAAAATAGGAATGAGATGGAAAGTAGCAACGGTGTTCACTACTGTTATAGAAATTACAGAAAATAAGCCTGCCAACCAAAAAAAGCCCAGGACCAGATGAATTCACAGCTGAATTCCACCAGATATACAAAGAAAAGCTGCTACCATTCCCATTCAAACTATTCCAAAAAATTGAGAAGGGACTATTCCCTAACTCATTCTATAAAGCCAGCATCATCCTGACACCAAAACCTGGCAGAGATACAATAAAAAAAAATGTCAGACCAATATCCTTGATGAAATTGATGCAAAAATCCCTAACAAAAACACTGGCAAGCAGAATCCAGCAGCACATCAAAAAGCTCATACACCATAATCAAGTAGGCTTCAACCTAAGGATGCAAGGTTGGTTCAACATACACAAATCAATAAATGTAATTCAGCACATAAGCAGAACTAAAGACAAAAACCACATGATTATCTCAACAGATGCAGAAAAGGCTTTTGATAAAATTCAACATCGATTTATGTTTAAAAAAAAAAACTCTTAAAAAACTAGGTATTGAAGGAACATACCTCAAAATAATATGAACCATCTATGACAAACTCACAGCCAGTATCATAATGAATGGGCAAAACCTGTAAGCATTACCTTGAAAACCAACATAAGACAAGGATGCCATCTCTCACCACCCCTATTCAACACAGTATTGGAGGTTCTGGCCAGGGCCATCAGGCAAGAGAAAAAAACAAAAGGCCAAACAAATAGCAAGAAAAGAAGTCAAACTATCCCTGTTTGCAGATGACATAACACTATATTTGGAAAATACCACAGTCTCAGCCCAAAAGCTTCTTAAGCCAATTAACAACCTCAACAAAGTCTCAGAATACAAAACCAACGTGGAAAAATCACTAGCATTCCTATACACCAAGAGTCAAGCTGAGAGCCAAGTCAAGAATGAACTCCCATTCACAACTGCCACAAAAAGAATTAAAAACCTAGGAATACAACTAAGTAGGGAGGCGAAAGATCTCTACAAGGAGAACTACAAACCACTGATCAAAGATATCAGAGATGACACAAACAAATGGAAAAACATCCCATTCTCATGGACAGGAAGAATCAGTATCAATAAAACGGCTACACTAACCAAAGCAATTTATATAGATTCAATGCTATTCCTATTAAACTACAATTGATGTTCTTCACAGAACTAGAGAAAACTATTTTAAAATTCATATGGAACCAAAAAAGAGCCCAAACAGACACGGCAATCCTAAGCAGAAAGAAAAGTTGGAGGCATCACGCTACCCAACTTAAAACTATACTACAGGGATATAGTGAGCAAAACAGTATGGTACTGGTACAAAAACAGACACATAGACCAATGAAACAGAATCTAAAACCCACAAATAAGACCGCACTCTGACAACTATCTGATCTTCCACAAACCTGACAAAAACAAGCAATGGGGAAAGGATTCCCTATTCAATAAATGGTGTTGTAATAACTGGTTAGCTATAGGAAAACAACTGAAACCCTTCCTTACACCATATACAAAAATTAACTCAAAATGGATTAAAGACTTAAATGTAAAACCCAGGCCAGGTGCAGCAGCTCACGCCTGTAATCCCAGCACTTTGGGAGGCCAATGCTGGTGGATCACTAGGTCAAGAGTTCGAGACCACCCTGACCAACATGGCAAAACCCCATCTCTACTAAAAATACAAAAATTAGCCGGGAATGGTGGCACATGCCTGTAATCCCAGCTACTCAGGAGGCTGGGGCAGAAAAATCGCTTGAACCCGGGAGGTGGAGTTTGCAGTGAGCCGAGATTGTGCCACTGCACTCCAGCCTGGGCAACAGAGTGAGACTCCGTCTCAAAAAAAAAAAAAAAAAAAAGTAAAACCCAAAACCATAAAACCCTGGAAAACAATGTAGGCAATACCATTCAGGACTTAGGCACAGGCAAAGATTTCCTGACAAAGATGCTAAAAGCAATTGGAACAAGAGTAAAAATTGGAAGTTGGGATCTAATTAAACTAAAGAGTTTCTGCATAGCGAAAAAAACTATCATCAGAATGAACAGAAAACCTACAGAACAAGAGAAAATTTTTGCAAACTATGCATCTGACAAAAGTCTAATATCCAGCATCTATAAGGAACTTAAACAAATTTACAAAAAAACAACAACCCCATTAAAAAGTGGGCAAAGGACATGAACAGACACTTCTCAAAAGAAGACATATAGGTGGCCAACAATCATATGAAAGAAAAGCTCAACATCACTGATCATTAGAGAAATGCAAATCAAAACCACAATGAGATACCATCTCACACCAGTCAGAATGGATATTATTAAAAAGTCAAAAAACAACAGATGCTGGCAAGGTTGCAGAGAAAAAGGAAGGCTTAAACACCGTTGGTGGGAGTAAATTATTTCAGCCATTGTAGAAGACAGTGTGGTGATTCCTCAAAGACCTAAAGACAGAAATACCATTTGACCCAGCAATCCCATTACTGGGTATATACCCAAAAGAAATATAAATCATTCTATTATAAAGATACATGCACACATATGTTCACTGCTGCACTATTCACAATAGCAAAGACATGGAATCAACCTAAATGCCCATCGATGGTAGACTGGATAAAGAAAATGAGGTACATATACACCACGGAATACTATGCAGCCATAAAAAAGAACGTGACAATGTCCTTTTCAGGGACATGAATGGAGCTGCAGGTCATTATCCTTAGCAAACTAACACAGGAACAGAAAACCAAATACCACACGTTCTCTCTAATAAGTGGGAGCTCAGTGATGAGAACACATGGATACAGAGGGGAACAATATACACTGAGGCCTTTCAAAGGGGTGGAGGATGGGAGGAGGGAAAGGATGAGGCAAAATAACTAATGTATACTAGGCTACCTATGTGATGAAATAATCTGTACAACAAAGCCCCGTGACACAAGTTTACCTATGTATCAAACCTGTATTTGTACCCCTGAACTCAAAATAAAAGTTAAAAAAAAAGAAATTATAGAAAATAAGTCTTCAACTCTCAACTGGCTCAGGAGAGATGAAAGCCAATACACTGAAAATATATATTAGCATGCAATTAAAACCTAACAATCCAGAAACTGTAATAAAGAAATTTTAACAAAATATACTATTTATAAAAACTATACTGTTAAAACTATGTAATGATATAACGTAAATAACACTAATATGTACCCAGACAGTGTGCTAATAAGCATTTATCATTTCATTTAATGCATCTTTCGAGGAAGGTGATATTCTCTTCACTTTTATAAGCAGGAAATTGAGTGTCAAAGAGATCATGTAATTTGTACCCCAACACATAAGTAAACATTGAAGCAGGGATTAAAACCCAAGTCCATGTTCATAATCACTATTCTATTTATCAAAAAGTAGGCATTATAATTCTTCTGAATTCAGATTACTAAATAGTATTTATTTAGTACTAACGGCTAATCTGACACATCTTCATAAACTACATTAATCACAGATAATCTAGTAACTCCCTACTAAATAACTATTACAGAGTCAAGCTTAAGTACCTAGACAGCTACTTGTGTATGGTTTTAAAGTAATGCTATTTTCATGCCTGTAACCACAGGGCTTTGGGAGACCAAAGTGGGAGGAGTGCTTGAGGCCAGGAGTTCAAGACCAATCTGGGCAACATAGTGAGACCACCATTTCTACAAAAGAAAGTCATAATTTTTTTTTTAAATTATCCAGGCGTGGGCCGGGCGCGGTGGCTCACACCTGTAATCCCAGCACTTTGGGAGGCTGAGGCAGGTAGATCACAAGGTCAGGAGATCAAGACCAGGAGATCAACACGGTGAAACCCCGTCTCTACTAAAAAAAAAAAAAAAAAAAATACAAAAAAATTATCCAGGCGTGGTGGCAGGAGCCTCTAGTCCCAGCTACTCAGGAGGCTGAGGCAGGAGAATGGCATGAACCCAGGAGGCAGAGCTTGCAGTGAGCCGCGACCACGCCACTGCACCCCAGCCTGGGAGGCAGAGCAGGACTCCATCTCAGAAAAAAAAAAAAAAAAAAATTAGCCAGGTGTGGTGGTGTGTGCCTGTAGCCCTAGCTACTTGGGAGGCTGAGGCAGAAGAATCACTTGAGCCCAGGAGTTCAAGGTTACAGTGAGCTATGATCACACCACTACGCTCCGGCCGGTTCAACAGAGTGAAACCCTGTCTCTAAATAAAAAATAAAAAAAGTAGGCCGAGCGCGGTGGCTCACACCTGTAATCCTAGCACTTTGGGAGGCCGAGGCAGTCGGATCACTAGAGGTCGGGAGTTCAAGACCAGCCTGGCCAACATAATGAAACCCCGTCTCTACTAAAAATACAAAAATTAGCCTGGCGTGGTGGTACATGTCTGTAATCCCAGCTACTCAGGAGGCCGAGGCAGGAGAATTGCTTGGACTCAGGAGGCGGAGGTTGCAGTGAGCGGAGATCGCGCCACTGCACTCCAGCCTGTACCGTGTCTCCAAAAAAAAAAGTAATGGTATTTTAAACCATGTATTTTTTATACTGCTTCGTATTTCTATTTATACTGTAGCGCTTACAATATAAAAACAATTTATTCATTAGACTAACATACTCCTCTACTGTTCTCATCAAACTGGTGAGACAAACTTGAAGCAAATCATAGAAAAAAAACATGATTTACAATATAAACTGTCATAGCCTTGTATTTGGTTGGTGAAAAAGTAATTGTGGTTTTTGCTATCACTTTTAATATATCCTACAAAGACATTAATTTTTTTTTAAGAGAGAAAAACACTTGATTAAAAAATCGGAGGCTGGGCACAATGGTTCACACCTGCAATCCCAGCACTCTGGGAGGCCAGGTGGATCACCTGAGGTCAGGAGTTCAAGATCAGCCTGGCCAACATGGTGAAACACTGTCTCTACTAAAAATACAAAAATTAGTTGGGCATGGCAGTGGGCACCTGTAATCCCAGCTACTTCGGAGGCTGACGCAGGAGAATCGCTTGAACCTGGGAGGCAGAGGTTGCAGTGAGCCAAGATCATGCCACTGCTCCAGACTGGGCAACACAGCGAGACTCTGTCTCAAAAAAAAAAAAAAATTGGAAATTACTTGTTCCAGCATTTTATTTTCCATTCATAAATCTTTCTACTTTTCTATTTTTTTAAAAAAAACAGCCCGATGAAGATCCTCAAAATATGCAACTATTAAAAGAAACATATTTTTAAAGTTTTCAATAGCGCACTTGCAGATAAAATGTTGCTCCAATCCCCCAATAAAAACCAAAAATAAAAAAACAGAGAAAAACCTACTTCCCTTAGAATTAGGATAAAAATGTATAAAGGAATTTTAAAGAATAAAAAATTGCCTTGCAGCACTGAAATGAGTGCAAAGTCATCTATCTTTGTGAATTAAAAAAAAAAAAAGATGTTTGCTGGCGGTTTTCTTTTTGTAAAAGCTCTAAAATAGGAAGGGAAAGGAAAATGCAGAATTCAGTCAATTATTGATTAAATGGCCTAATAAGAAAAGCTGCTAGGAAGTCACAGACAACCTGAATCACAGTTTTAAGAAACTCTCCAGTCATTTCTCTGAGGACAGCAAGTAAAGATAATTCAAGTACAGAAGAAACCTTAAATGTACTCACCTCAACAATTAGCAGACTGCACAGTGATGAGTAGTAAGGATAATAAGGAAGGTCTACTTAGTGTTAGGCGAGGGGACAGAGGCTGTTAACACTTATCCAACCCATCCCATTACTAGTCTGGCTGTTTCTACTGAGCCTTGTTCGGAAGGTGAGCCCTCCCAAGTCTCTTACTACTCCTTAATTGGACATACAGTAGTGTGCAAAATGGAGTCTCATTCTCAAATAATCCAGAGTAACAATATTTCAGTGGTAAAGCAAAAGGTCTAACCACAATAACAAATTATTTTCTTGTTGACAATACACACATACGATATTGAGATATCATGAATGATAAATAGCTATGTAGAACTATAATGATGTATTTATTGCCTGGTCTTAACAACTGGAATTTAACAACGGAGTTTCAAGACTCCACATACATTCTTCCAAAGTGCTACAAGATAATCAATGTTTTCAACTATGTGAAAACTGTTCATGTGTGCCCAAAGGTTAAAACTTAGATAGATGAAAATGTACTCTGAGCATTTATTAAGTTAAAATAAATACATAAAGGCTCTTGAAGAAACAACACTACCTGAGAGTTTTAAATTGTATCAAAGCATCAAAGCATAAGGCACAACATAATTCAAGAGAATAAATTCTGGATTAAACTTTTAAAATCCCTAAGGATTCTCAAAAGGAGAAATTTTCAGCAATAGATACAAACAGATACAACCTTTTGTAAGAATCAGCACTATCAATATACACTCCACTTAAAGATACAAAAGGAAAAAAAGTGACAAACATTTAGAAATGCAAAGAAGGCCGGGCACGGTGGCTCACACCTGTAATCCCAACACTTAGGGAGGCCGAGGCGGGCAGATCACGACGTCAGGAGATTGAGACCATCCTGGCTAACACGGTGAAACCCCGTCTCTACTAAAAAAAAAAAAAAATACAAAAAATTAGCCGGGCGTGGTGGCGGGCGCCTGTAGTCCCAGCTACGCGGGAGGCTGAGGCAGGAGAATGGAGTGAACCCGGGAGGTGGAGCTTGCAGTGAGCTGAGATGCGCCACTGCACTCCAGCCTGGGGGACAGAGCAAGACTCCGTCTCAAAAAAAAAAAAAAAAGAAAGAAAGAAATGCAAAGAAAATGGCAGAATATATGGATCAAAATGATCCTGCATTTGAGTGGTTTTGAGGCAGGAGAATAGGGTCTGCAGTCAGGGAACCTAAGGCCACTTCACCCTGACTTCCTAGAAATAAATTGGAAGGAAAACCCTAACTTTCCACGCCTAAGTAACAAAAGGACCAGCGACCTTTGCAAACCCCCACCTCTTTGCGAGGCAGATGGGAAATTGAAAGTACCACTGATTGGTTGTAAAAAGCAACCAATCAGACGTTTGCATAGGAGTCTAACTCTGTAACTTCACTTCAGCCTCGGATTGGTTGCACACAGCAACCAACCTCTGATTGGCTGCACATAGCAACCAATCAGACTAACTGAAGGTAGTTATGTGCAAGCAATCGGACTGAGGGCCAAGTCTTCAAATGCACAGAAGTGCAACTTTGTAACTTCACTTTAGCCTCTGATTAGTTGCTTCCCACAACCAATCAGATGTTTGCATAGGGGTGTGACCTTTGTAACTTCAGCCTCTGATTGATTGCAGGCCACCACTTCATTTACATGAGGCGAACACCAAGTGGCCAATGGGAAACATATATGGGGTATTTAGACCCCAGAAGATTCTGTATCCAGAACCTTGAGCAGCTGCTGGGGCCAATTCCCACCCTGTGGAGTATACTTTTGTTTTCAATAAATATCTGCTTTTGCTGCTTCATTACTTGTTTGTGTATTTTGTCCAATTCTTTGTTCAAAATGCCAAGAATCTGGACACCCTCCACCAGTTTCTTCCATCTTTCAACAAAAATCTATACCCATTATGTGCTATGCCCTCCTCTAGATAATGTGTTATGCACTACTCTAAATCAGGAACCAGGCCACACAGCAGGAGGTGAGTGGCAGGCAAGTGAACATCACTATCTGAGCTCTGCCTCCTGTCGGATCAGCAGCAACATTTGATTCTCATAGGAGCATGAACTCTGTTGTAAGCTGCCCATGAAAGGGATCTAGGCACAAGTTCCTTGTGAGAATCTAATGCCTGATGATCTGAAGTGGAACAGTTTCATCCCAAAACCATCCCCTCGATTTCTGACTGTGGAAAACTTGTCTTCCATGAAACTGGGCCCTAGTGCCAAAAAGGTTAGAGACCACTGCTCTAAATTATGTGCTATGCACGACTCTAGATACTCGAGTTACAACAATGAACAAAACAGACAAAAAAACCTGCCTTCAAGAAGTTTATAGTAGAAAGGGAAGATAAAGTGACAAGATGTAAATAAACAAAATCTGTAGTGTACTAGATGGTGATCAGTGCTATCCAGAAAAATAAACCAGGATTTTCTATGATTTGGATTCAATTTATTTTAGCAAATTTCTTGCCCCTAAAATCCCACAAATACTTCTGTGAAAAATGCACTGATCTATAAGCCATGAAGTCCAAAAAACCTAACAATTGTGATTTACAATGATGGTCATACCTTCTATTTTTAAAATTATATGGCTTCTCATTTACTTGCTAAAATTAAGCGCAGTGGCTTACAATTTACTAAATGCAAACACGTAAAAGCATGCCAACATAAATAGGTGACTGATAAATGATTACCTATGTATTTTTCAAGTTAATATACATAATTTTAAGAGCTACGCTACATTTATACATAATTTTAAGAGCTATATGCCTAAAACTGGATCGACAAAACAGACTTTTAAAAAAATTTAGAATTGCAAATTCCCTGCCCAATTCCACCCCTTCTCTCCCCACCAAAAAAAACTATCTATTCCCCTAGTCATTGATTATCTAGAATGGGGTTCCCTCCTCCTTACAGAATAAGAAACTATTGCGGAGGAACCGCAAAAGAAAAGCATAGGGGATTTTCATATGGCCTTCAAGAGATCCTTAAGAAGAAATAACATATTTCAACAGACTTCATAACCTTTCAAGTGACAAAACAATATCCTGAGTGGAAAACGAACATACAAACCTAATGTGTAGGTCAATCTCAAGTCATTTAATTGAAGGCGGTGACTAACCAAGACCACCTGTGCCCAATACACTGATAAATTACAAAGCAAGAAATCCAAGGCAGCCCTACTTTATCAATGTCAACTCTCAAAACACTGATCAAAGTAAAAAGGAATAGATATTCAATGATAAAACTCTAAGTAAAAATCAAAGTTGTGGTATTATCACTAGCTAAAAGGAGACCAAACAACAAAAAAAGTGTCCTTACTTTTTTTATTAAAAATAATTCTGATGACATGAGTTATGGCAATGCACAAATAACTTATACACTAAGTAAAACTCCCAACTCACTAATCAGTGACTGGTTTACACATGTCTTCTCTAAAAACCTGTCCACCTTCACCTATTGAGAACTTTGAATTCTTACATAGTATCCGGCAAAAATCATTATCATCTGGTTGTGTTATAAAAGTAACAGTGGTAAGAGAACTTTCTACTATTTGTTTCAACTTCTTAGAAATGATTAAAGGAGAATTCTAGCATTAGAATAAATACAATTACTCTGACCCTAGGAATATACTCTGAAATGTTAGTCTACCTACCTTTGTGCCTCAAGGCTGAATCTAATTAATGTCTGGAAAATGTTTTCAATTAAGTTTACATGGCTGTCCGTAACTGGATGAAAAACTTGGAAGCTGGCTAAAGATACCAAGAGAGCTGACTGAACATAGTTGAGCACTGTTCCTTAACAAGTCTATGATTTTAGTAAAAAAATGCAGTCAGTTCTGTCTAATATAGTCTATTATACTAAGGGTTCAACTATCATTTTATGTTGTTTGTGAAGCTTTGTATTTAGTTACATAAACTTAATAAGGTTTATTCTGATAAAAGTGAAATTTATTTTTAAATAAATTACAAATTAGTCCCTAACTAATCCTGCCATGTAATCTAACTTACAGAAATTTAGACTGAACTATTTGACAGTTCTCTACGGTTTCTAAATCCACGTTATTCTGAGAAGACTGTAATTAACATTTTTGGCAATTCAACACATTTATAAATCTTAAAGAAAAAGTTACCAAAAACTAGGTTTAATTTATGGTCCAAAAAGCGTTAATAAATTATACCTACAGAGAATAGTGTTAGGTTTTACTCAACTTGCTAAAACTGAAATTAAAAAACAACACACTGGGCCCAGCTTCTTGTATAAGCATAAATAAATAAAGGGTCTAGACACTGATCTGTGTACTTTTACAGAATCACATCACACATATTAATAACAATCATAATAGCAGTAGGTATTATTGCTGTTAAATGCCTTCCAAAGTGTTCACATTTTCCTTAATTATATCACCAGTAAAATTATATCTCCAGTTGAATAACCAAACTTTGAAATGATTTTTTGAAATCAGTATCCAAAGACATACCAGAATTCTGGTATGATACAGCTAAGAATGGAGTTTAACAGTTGATCTAAGAAAAGTTATATAAAAATAAAATTATTAAGAAGTTGTTATGATTCCTTTCATCTGATCATTATTAAATACGGATAGAAGTAGTTTAAAATCATGGTGCTATTATGCTACAATGACAAAAAACAGAGTGCACTCTTCAACTGCCCAAACCACTTCCTTCCAAGAGGAAAATGAGACCTTTATCATGTTTACCTCTAATGCAACAGCTGCATCTATATGAAATCATATTTAAGATTACTCAAGTTCTTAGTTATGACAAAAATGAATCTTCTGAATCTTTTATCCTTAAAAAATGTAATATAAATTTGAAAAAGCACTTCTTGTCATTGAAGCAAGAATATAGCATTTAGCTATATATTCTACAAAGTTTTAGGGTGCTTAGCTAGTTGCTCAAAATGTTTTCATGCACTCCTCAGATTTACTCTAAAATGAGATTAGAAGGCGAATTTCAGAGGATTTATCATCCATGCCTCTTTGAAAAGAGCTCATGTGCTTTATTTCTTAATGGAATTTTTTCCCCATTTAAAGTTTTCTATTTTATTCTATAAAATATATATAATCAGAATTATGTAAGCTCCTAAGCTTAAAAATAAAATATTGAAACTTACATGCACTGGTATATGTCTACATGGACACCAGTTCTGAACAACAAAAAGGCCATTCTGACTTGCCACTGAGTCACTAGGATACCTGACAAAGCATTATACACTCAGTGTTCAACTTATGGAAAGATATACAAATGGTTTTTAATAAATCAGTAACCTTTATCCTATAACATCATATTTCATAGCCCAGTAAATCACATGCAACTCAAGATAAAACAATACACTTATACACTGAGATGTGAATGTGTCCCAGAAATACATGAGTAATTCTGAAACAGGCAGTATTAGCACAACTATGAACACAGATTTGTAGAACTATACTTCAGCCAGGAGGAAAAGAAATAGACTAATTTTTCAAGATTCCCTCTTGTCCTAATTGAAAAAGGAATAAAGATACATACAATGATTCAGAAAATAATCAGTGCTAAGCATTCCCTTTATGTTTATATGATCATCATAGGTAACGATCCAGAAAATAATCAGTGCTAAGCATTCCCTTTACCTGTATATGATCATTGCAGGTAACTATAATTGACCAACTATGACAGAATAAATCCTGTTGGCCATTACATAATCAACCACAAGTCAACATGACTTTTTGTACCCCTCCTCCTCTACTCTGTCTGCAAAATCTCATTCTGTGAAACTCATCACCACAATGAAGTCAGACTCCCTATAAATCTTCTGAGAATACAATTGTTCAAAGGCATCTGACTATGAGGAATTCTCCATTATTTTACCACACTTGCTTTAGGTTGTAAACCATATGGAGTATATTATACTTATACCACCTAATTTTCAGTAACTTCAGAAGGCAATTCTAAATTTTTAATGCAGCCTGTAATGCACATGTTTTGAACAAGGTTTTCTTAGTAATTCTTGCTTCTATACTGGTTCAAAGCAGCTAAAATTAGCTTTTATAAATCTTTTTCTAATCTGAATCCCAGTATTTTCCTATCCAAGTTCCTGGGCAACAGGTAGGGTGTGCAAGTCTTAGTAAATGACACTCTGCTCACCTGTTATAGCAAAGGGTGTTTATATTAAAGCAGGTGCTCTTCTGTCCTCTGAGAGCTATCGGCTAGACTCATTCTCTAATATGCAATAGTGCCTTAAAAACCTGGGTCACTCAAGATTAGGACATTTCACATCTTTTTTTCCCACATAGAATACGTTTTAAATTTAATAATATTGACTCTAAGTAAAAACTAATGAGAAGAATATACTTGAAAACACTGCATTGGTTTTCAGATGATAAAAGACAAAAAATGCAAATGAACAATGGTGTCCAGAAAAAATTCCAGGAAACAGAAAAAGGATCCTATAACCCTCCATTTTTCCAACACCATATTAAACATAAGACAATGTCACCTTTGCCTACTATCTTGAAGAAGTCCAATATTCTGTGAATTGTGATCATACATCCTGAAACCAGGTTAAG
This sequence comes from Homo sapiens, assembly GCF_000001405.40. Taxonomy (NCBI): domain Eukaryota; kingdom Metazoa; phylum Chordata; class Mammalia; order Primates; family Hominidae; genus Homo; species Homo sapiens. Next base: position 104,830,571 of record NC_000006.12, read on the forward strand.
GAAAAAGTGTTTGAAGAGATAAAAATCCAGATTCCACTAGGAATTCTCCCTTCTCCCAACAAGAGATAAGACTCAGAAAGTTTGTAACCAAAAAAATAAACAAACTTTGTATCCTTGTAGTTAATGGTACTGACTTTGAGTTGGTTTTGTTGTTGTTATTATGGTCAGCAAGAAAATAAATTACATTCTTTTTTTTTTTTTTTTTGAAGAGACGAGGTGCAGTGGTAATTCACTAGCATGATCCCACAAACAGACCAGCATGGGGGTTGTGACTTGCTGTTTCTGACCTGTTCTGGTTCACCTCTCCTTAAGCTATCTGGCATCCTGAGAGGTCACCATATTCATGCCAAACTTAGTGTGGACATCCAAGCAGCATAGTGCACTACAACCCACAACTCCTGGGCAAAGGGATCTCTCCACCTAATCTTGACCTCTCCACCTCAGCCTCCCAAACAGCTGAGACTACTGGCACACACCTGTACATTCTATTACCAATAATGTTAAATGTTAAAAAAAGAAAAAACTTAAAAACATAAACAAGGTAGAAAATTACAGCAAAGCAGAAATTCAATCTAAAATCTTAAGCCCTCCATCTTTATATAAGGCAGTAAAGTCTCTTAATGAGAGAGAAATAGCAATTTCAAAAGCCAAATGTCTGGACACAGGAATAACAGGAAAGCATTGTCATAAAACAAATGCATGATTTTAGAAACCTAGAGTAAGAAAGAAAATAGCCAGGCACGGTGGCTCACACCTGTAATCCCAGCACTTTGGGAGGCTGAGGCAGGCAGATCACTTGAGACCAGGAATTCAAGATCAGCCTGGCCACCATGGCAAAACCCCATCTCTACTAAAAATACAAAAAGTAGCTGGGTGTGGTGGCACACACCTGTAATCCCAGCTACTTAGGAGGCTGAGGCACAAGGATCACTTAAACCTGGGAGGCAGAGGTTGCAGTAAGCTGAGATTATGCCACTGCACTCCAGCCTGGGTGACAGAGCGAGCCTCCGTCTCAAAAAAAAAAAGAAAAGAAAAGAAAGAGGCCGGGCACGGTGGCTCACGCCTGTAATCCCAGCATTTTAGGAGGCCGAGGCAGGCGGATCATGAGGTCGGGAGATTGAGACCATCCTGGCTAACGCAGTGAAACCCCATCTCTACTAAAAATACAAAAAATTAGCCGGGCGTGGTGGCCGGTCCCTGTAGTCCCAGCCACTCGGGAGGCTGAGGCAGGAGAATGGCATGAACCCGGGAGGCGGAGCTTGCAGTGAGCCGAGATGGCGCCACTGCACTCCAGCCTGGGGAACAGAGTGAGACTCCATCAAAAAAAAGAGAGAGAAAGAAAAGAGAAAGAAGAGAAGAGAAGAGAAGAGAAGAGAAGAGAAGAGAAGAGAAGAGAAGAGAAGAGAAGAGAGGAAGGAAGGAAGGAAGGAAGGAAGGAAGGAAGGAAGGAAGGAAGGAAGGAGAAAGAAAAGAAAAAGAAAGAAAAGAAAGAACTGTTACTTGTACCATACACAATGCAAGTAGAAAAATAGGATAACCTGACTCATACTATTAACCAGTGTCATTGCTCACTTTCCTCACTATCTAATCTCCAAAATTGAGGCTTAACAGCAAAAGATAAAATAAAATATGAAGTTTTATTTGCTAAAACTGAGAACAGAATGAACATTATAAATGTTAAAATTAAATGTGAATATACTACATTTAAAAATTTAGTATGTTTGGCTATTAAAACCTATGAATTAGAAATAAAATCAAAATGCAAATTACAAATATTTTGAACAGATATAAAAGCACTATTTTCCTGTTTTTTGTTGTTGTTGTTGTTGTTGTTGTTGTTTGATACAGGCTCTCACTCTGTCACCCAGGCTGGAGTATAGTGGCACAATCTCAGCTCACTGCAACCGCTGACTGCTGAGCTCAAGCAATTCTCCCACTTCAGCCTCCGGAACAGCTGGGACTACGGATGCATGCCACCATACCCAGCTAAATTTTTTTGTATTTTTAGTAGAGATGGGGTTTCGCCATGTTGCCCAGGCTGAACTCCTGAGCTCAAGAGATCCACCCATCTCAGCCTCCCAAAGTGCTGGGATTACAGCTGTGAGCCACGGCTCCCAGCCCAAAAGCACTATTTTCTATTTCTTCTAACCATACAGAATATATTTATCAGAAGTCCATATGGGCCAGGTGCAGTGGTTCACGCATGTAATCCCAGCTACTCGTGAGGCTGAGGTGGAAGGATCATTTGAGCCCAGGAGTGTAAGGCTGCAGTGAGCTAGGATCCCACCACTGCACTCCAGCCTGGGCAACAAAGTGAGGCCCTGTCTCAAAAAAAAAAGTCCATATGATGCAGAAAATAAGATTTTGCTATAATGCTTCATGTTCCCAAATATGCACAATGAAAAACTTTTCATGAAATCAATTTTAAAAAACAAACACATGCAGCTTAAAGTCCTCATGGCTCAACTTACCGTCTTGTGACCGTTCTGGCAGGCAACATGCAGTGCTGTCTGCCCCATGGCATCCTCAACATCAACATCACTGACATGCTGCACAAGGTCATGGAGTAGTTCTGTCCGCCCATTCACAGCCAGCCAATGTATCTGTGAAGCCATTTAGTTACTTAACATTTGTGTAATAGTGTTTTATATAAAAACAGCAGATAAATAATGTTATTTCTCAGCTGGGCGTGATTTGCACATGCAAATCTAAAGGTGTTTTAAGTCCATGTAATGGTTTAAAACTAAAGGTATTTTAAGTCCATGTCATTTTTTTCCTTTTTTAAATTTGTTTAAGTTTTATTTACAGGTTTGGGGGTTTTTTAGAGTTGGGGTCTTGCTATGTTGTTCAGGTTGGACTCAAACTCCTGGGCTCAAGTGATCCTCTTGCCTCAGCCTCCTAAATAGCTGAAATTAGGTTTTATATGAGGAAAACTTCGGTATCAAGATGCAGATTACATTACCACAGATTTCAAAATCAAGAACTCAGTGGGGCTCCAAGTGGTGACTCACGTTTGTAATCCCAGCACTTTGGGAAGTTGAGGCAAGAGGATTGCTTGAAGCAACGAGTTCAAGATCAGCCTGGGCAATGTAGCAAGAACCTGTCTCTACAAAAAATTCAAAAATTAGCTGGGCAGCCGGGCACGGTAGCTCAAGCCTCTAATCCCGGAACTTTGGGAGGCTGAGGCAGGCGGATCACAAGGTCAGGAGATCAAGACCATCTTGGCCGACATGGTGAAACCTTGTCTCTACTAAAATACAAAAAATTAGCTGGACGTGGTGGTGCGTGCCTGTAATCCCAGCTACTTGGGAGGCTGAGGCAGGGGAATCACTTGAACCCAGGAGGCGGCAGTTGCGGTGAGCTGAGATCGTGCCACTGCACTCCAGCCTGTCAACACAGTAAGACTCCGTCTCAAAAAAAAAAATTAGCTGGCCATGGTGGCATACACCTATGGTCCTAGCTTCTCAGGATGCTAAGGTGGGAGGATCCCTTGAGCCCAGGAGTTTGAGGCTATAATGAGCTATGATGGTGACACTGCACTCCTCCTACCTGTGTGACAGAATGACAACCTATTTCCAAAAAAAAAAAAATCGTTTTAAAATAACTCATAATGGTTCAAAACAGTAAGTATACTAAGCTCCCAATCATCAAATACTCTGCTTCTCAGATAATCCTGGACTCTATGCATAGTTTGTCTCTGGAGAAAAGGTGTTAGATATTTTTCTTTTCCCAGAAGCAAACATAAGTTAAAAAGTAATTAACATAGCAATGCTATATTCCTTACTTCCTGTATTTTACAAGTAACACATGTATCTTACATAAATAAAGGAGGGTAAAAAATATATAAAACACCTATAAGTCTACCACTCAAAGATAATCAATGTTAAAACTCTGGACTATGCTATCCATTAATTTTTCACATGATTTTTTTTCATTAAAAAGAAAATCATGAAATCCCTGTTTTAAAATGGCAGGTTTAATCCATGCATCAGTCTCTACTTCTTCCCTAAACCCCACGGAAATGAGAGTAAAGAGTATTTCCTTAAAAGACTAGATCCATAAAGATACAGAGGAGAGAACAGCAAGTTTTGGAAGCAAAGAAAGTAGATGATGCTTTTTATCTTGTCAGATTATACTTGTTGACTTGTCAGAATGCTACACCAGTATTAGAGAAACCCCCCAAAAAATGTGATTCAGATCACAGGACTCCCAAAAGGCTCAAGAATCAATAGTAAGTACCATGCACCTCTTGAAAAGAGGTTGAAAGTTTATTTAATAAGATTTAGAGCCTCATATCTCTACCCCTCCCCAACTGTGCAAGGCCAGTAATGGCCCCCACTCAACCAGATAGAATGCAAGAGGCTTGAAAACAGTCTCTAGATAAGAGACAACAGGCACATTGAACAAAGAATACCACACTAAAAAGGGGAGATTAAGTGCAAGTTTAAATATTGAATATTGATTTTACAAAGCATTCTTCTCTATCCAGCACGCAGACTGTTAACATCTTCCGGGCAGTTGGAAGAGTCTTCTCTGAGGAATATGACCAGTTCAAGAGTAAATGCCTAAAGAAATCGACACTGGAAAGGTCTAAGAGGCAAATGTCCAAGGAGATCATCCTACACTGAAGCCTCTAGTGAACAAAGCCTCACTCATGCTGACAGCCTTCAAATAGCTTTTTCCATTTCCACCAAACATCTGATAAACGCATCTAATTTGAAAGACAAACTACAAATTTTTTTAAAGCAAAAAGTAGGGGGAAAAAGGAACCATGAATATTCAAGAAAAAACTATATTTAATACTGTCAGAGGGAGAACATACTGATTGCATCCCTGAAATGAGAAAAGGATACTATTTTTTGAAAGAGACAAGGAAAAAAAACTCTTGGAAATTAATACTATGATAGAGACGTGCAAACTCAAAACAAGAATTAGGAGATAATATTGAGGAAGTCTCCCTAAAAGTACAAAGAAAAGAAATGAGAAAAAGTAGGAAAATTAAAGGGCTAGTGTGAATAGGTCTAACATTTAAATAATAGGAGTTGGGGAAAAAATAAAACAGAGAAAAGACAGAAAAAGAAATCATGAAAGTAATAATTTATGAATATTTCTCATAAGTTCCTATTACATGAGTTTCCAGGTTGATAGGGTCTCAATATTATCCATCGAAATGGATAAAATAAATCCAAAGCAAGACATAATAATCACAGGATTTTAGAACACTAAGGACAAAGTAGATTCTATAAGTTTCTAGAGAGAAAAATCAAAACAGGTTTCATATAAAGAATCAAGAATCCAAATAGCACTAAACTTCAAAACAAAGCTAGAACACAACAAAGCAATGCTTTCAAAATTCTAAGGAAAAATGATGTCTTGTCTAGATTGTCAGCTAAACTGTCAATTACATAATCAGACTCAAAGACTCAAGTCATATCAAACATGCAAGGTGGCAACACATCTCCCATGCACACTCTCAGGAAACTCTCAGGGTTGTGCTCCATCAGAGTGACAGAATAGTTATCAGAAAAGATGGATATGAGACCCATATAACAAGAGAACCCAAAGCAAGAAAAAAGCAAAAGGAATCCCCAGATGATGAGACATTCCAAACAACTGTGCAGCAGACCTAGGTATCAACCAATCCAGCCAAGAGAGCACAGAAGTCTCCGTAAGAGACTCCTTCAAGACATAATCAAGCACATGAAAGGTACTGAATACATATTAAGAGGATATTTACAAAGCTGAGAGAGACCTTGGAATTGAATTAGTAAAAAGTTATAAGAAAACTTTAAAGTAATAAAGTTGCAGTAGGGCAAGAAACAAATACAAAAGACATACAAACTGCGAAGAAAGAAATAAAGGCCTGGCGCGGTGGCTCACACCTGTAATCCCAGCATTTTGGGAGGCCGAGGCGGGTGAATCACCGGAGGTCAGGAGTTCAAGACCAGCCTGGCCAACAAGGTGTAACCCCGTCTCTATTAAAAATACAAAAATCAGCTGGGCATGGTGGCACACACCTGTAATCCCAGCTACTAGGGTGGCTAAGGCAGGAGAATTGCTTGAATCCAGGAGGCAGAGGTTGCAGTGAGCTGAGATTGCGCCACTGCACTGTAGCCTGGGTGACAGAGTGAGACTCTGTCTAAATAAATAAATAAACAAATTACTGTCTCTACGTGCAGACAACATGACTGTCTATGTAGAAAATCTCAAGCAATTTGCCCAAAGTCCCCCAGAACTAATAAGTGAGTTCAGCAAGATTGCAAAACCAAAAACCAATTGCATTTCCATCTGAACATGCATAAACTCAAATTAAAAACACAAGGCCATTTATAATTATGCCAAAGAAAATGAAACAGTTATATGCTTACCAAAACATGCACAAAATCCCCACTGTGCTGTACAAAATTCTAATGAATAAAATCAAAGACCTAAGTAAGTGTGGAGATATACTGTGTTTATGGATTAAAAGACTCAATCAACACAGTAAAGATAACAATTCTCCCCAAATTGACCTATCAGTTTAAAGCAACTCCAATCAAAATCCCAGCAAGGTTTTTTTGTAGACACAGACAAGTTTATTCTAAAATTTATATGGAAAGGCAAAGGAATCAGAATGGCTAACACAATCTTGACAAAGTGAGAGGAATTATTCTACCTGGTATTAAGACTTACAGCTACAGTAATCGAGACAGTGTGGTATTAGCAGAGAGATTAGCAGAGACACACAGATCAGTGGAATGAATATAAAGTCCACAAGTGGGTCCACACAAATATGCCCAACTGATTTTTGAAACAGATGCAAAAGCAAATTCATGTAGGAAGGACAGCCTTTTCAACAAACAGTGCTAGTACTGGACATTCATAGGCAGAAAAAAAAGAGTAAACCTTGACCTAAGCCTCATAACTTATGCAAACAGTAACTCAAAAGAGATCATAGACTTAAATGTAAAACACAGAAACATAAAACTTGTAGAAAAAAATATATGAGACAATCTTCAGGAGTGAGTGCTAGGCAAAGAGTTCTTGATACCAAAAGCATGATCCATAATGCAAAAAACTGATCAATTTGACTTCAAAGTTAAAAAACTTTTGCTCTTCAAAAGACCCTCTTAACACCACTATTAGAAACAGTACTGGAAGACCTAGCTAGAGCAATCAGGCAAAAGAAAGAAATAACGGACATTCATATTAGAAAGAAAGATGTCAAATTATTCTTGTCTGCAGATGATATGATCTTGTATTTGGAAAAACTTAGACTCCACCAAAAAACTGTTAGAACTGGTAAATAAGTACGTTGCAAAATATGAAATCAACATGCAAAAATCAGTAGCATTCTGATGTCAGCAGCAAACAACCTGAAAAAGAAGTAAAGAAAGTAATCCCATTTATGACAGCTACAAATAAAATAAAATACCTAGGAATCAACTTAACCAAAGAAGTGAAAGATGTCTAAAAGAAAACTATAGAAAAAGATGCAAGAAACTGAAGAAGACACACACACAAAATGGAAAAATATTCCTAAGGGTTGGAAGAATCAATACTGTCAAAATGTCCATACTACTCAAAGCAATCTATAGATTCAATGTAATCTCTATCAAAATACCAATGACATTCTTCACAGAAACAGAAAAGATAATTCTAAAATTTATATGGAATCACAAAAGATCTAGAATAGCAAAAGCCATCCTGAGTAAAAAGATCAAAACTGGAGGAATATCATTACCTGACTTCAAATCATACTACAGAGCTATAGTAACCAAAACAGCATGTTACTGGTATAAAAACAGACACACAGACCAATGGGACAGAACAGAGAACCCAGAAATAAATCCACACATCTACAGTGAACTCATTTTCTACAAAGGTGCCAAGAACACACATTGGAGGTAGGGACCATCTCTTCAATAAATGGTGCGGGAAAACTGGATATCCATACACAAAAAATGAAACTAGGCTCCTATATCTCTTGCCATATACAAAAATCAAACAAAAATTAATTAAAAACTTAAATCTAAGACATGAAACTACTAAAATAAAACACTGGGGAAACTCTCCAGGACATTGGTTTGGGCAAAGCTTTCTTGAGTAATACCCCTTGAGCAAATTTCTTGAGTAAATTTGCTTTTAAGTAAAAGCAAAAGTAACCAAAGCAAAAACGGACAAATAGGATCACTTCAAGTTAAAACACTTTTGCACAGGAAAGGAAAAAATCAACAAAGTAAAGAAACAACCCATAGAATGGGAGAAAATAACTGCAAACTATCCATCTGACAAGGGATTAATAACCAGAATATATAAGGAACTCAAACAACTCCATAGTAAAAAAAAAAAAAAAAAAAAAAAAAATTTTGATTAAAAAAAGAATGAAAGATCTGAGTAGACACTTCTCAAAAGTAGACATACAACTGGAAAACAGGTATATAAAAAGGTGCTCAACATCACTGATCATCAAAGAAATGCAAACCAAAACTACAATGAGGTATCATCTCACCCCTATTAAAATGGCTTATATCCAAAAGACAAGCAATAAGAAATGCTGGCAAGGATGTCAAGAAACAGGAACTATCATATGTTGTTGGTGGGAATGTGAATTAGTATAGCCACTACGGAAAACAACTGCATTCCTGGACATTTATCCCAATGTGTACCCTGCTGTTTTTAACAGCTTTACTCATAATAGCCTCAAACCAGAAGTGAACCAAATGTCTTTTAACAGGTGAACAGTCCAACAAATGGTGGTATATCCACTACTGGATGGAATACTATTCAGCATTATAAAGGAACAAACTATTGATAAGTATAACCTAGATAAGTCTCCAAGGAATGTGACAAACAAAAAAAGCCAATCCCCAAAGGTTCCATACAATATAGTTCTATCTCTGTAACATTCTTGAAATGACTAATGGAGAACAAATTAATGGTTGCTATAGGTTAGCCATGGGATGTGAAGGACAAAGGGAAAGGTATGGTTATAAAAGGGCAACATGACATATCTCTGTGGTGTTAGAAATGTTCAGAATATTGACTATGGTGGTGAAAACCTACCATGTACACAGGTAATAAAACTACACAGGTAACCTACACAAGTAATAAAAATGAATAGAACTTAAAATACATAAACATACACACACACATACAATTAAAACTGAGGAAGGCCAGGCATGGTGGCTCACACCTGTAATCCCAGCATTTTGGAAGGCCAAGGCGGGTAGATCACCTGAGGTCAGGAGCTCAAGACCAGCCTGGCCAACATCGTGAAACCCCATCTCTACTAAAAATGCAAAAATTAGCTGGGCATGGTGACGCACACCTGTGGTCCCAGCTACTCGGGAGACTGAGGCAGGAGAATTGCTTGAACCCAGGAGGCGGAGGTTGCAGTGAGCTGAGATTGCACTACTGCACTCTAGCCTGGGCAACAGAGCGAGACTCTGTCTCAAAAAAATAAAATAAAATAAAACTGAGGAAATCTCAGTAAGACAGATTGTATCAATGTCCATGTCCTTACTGTAATATTATAGTATAGTTTTGCAAAATGTTACCACTGGAGGAAACTCGGCAAAAAGTGCAGGGCAACTCTCTCTCTCTATTATTTCTTAGCACTGCATGTGAATCTACAATTATCTTAATTTCTAAAAAAAGACAATCATTAACTACAGGGAAAATAAAATGTTATGCAAGAAAGGAAAGCAACTATAACCAACTATTTGGCTTAACTATGAATAGTTTTCGTGTACTCAAAAAAATAATAACACACAAAAATGATCTAACTAAAATTACAATAATTGTATTGGAGGGATACAAGGCTAATGTGCTTATACACCACAGGGCGGGAGGAGGGGCTGAAAAAGAGAACAATAGCCTCATCTTCCAGAAAGTCAACAGGTGATACCTAAAACCAAAAAACCAGGAAGTAGCATTTAGCATGCTATTTAGATATAGAGACAACATTTTAAAATCCATTAAAATAGCTGAGAGAGGCCCGTCGCGGTGGCTCACACCTGTAATCCGAGCACTTTGGGTAGCCAAGGCGGGTGGATCACCTGAGGTCAGGAGTTCGAGATCAGCCTAGCTAACCTGGTAAAACCCCGTCTCTATTAAAAATACAAAAAAAGGCTGGGCGCGGTGGCTCACACCTGTAATCCCAGCACTTTGGGAGGCCAAGGCGGGCAGATCACCTGAGGTCAGGAGTTCAAGACCAGCCTGACCAACATGGAGAAACCCCGTCTCTACTAAAAATACAAAATTAGCTGGGCGTGGTGGCACATGCCTGAAATCCCAGCTACTCAGGAGGCTGAAGCAGGAGAATTGCTTGAACCCGGTAAGTGGAGGGTGCAGTGAGCCAAGACAGCACCATTGCACTCCAGCCTGGGCAACAAGAGTGAAACTCTGTCTCAAAAAATATTAGCTGGGCATGGTAGCAGGCGCCTATATTCCCAGCTACTCGGGAGGCTGAGGCAGGAGAATCACTTGAACCCGGGAGGTGGAAGTTGCAGTGAGCTGGGATTGCGCCATTGCACTCCAGCCTGGGCAACAGTGAGACTCTGTCTCAAAAAAAAAAAAAAAAATAGCTGAGAGAAGTTGTTTAGGGAGTGGGAAGTTTGGAGGTTGGGGAGGAAGGCCAAGAGACTGTTTTCTACAAGCCAGGTAGAATATTTGATTCTTTAAATACATACATGAATAATTTTGTTAAATAAAAATTTTATTTTTACAAATTTTCTATTCCACCTCCCTTAAAGTACAGGAAGGAAGGGAAGAAATTAACAGAAAACATCTTATGCAATTAAAACAGATTATATTAACATTCAACCATCATGCCTAAACTGGTTAGTGTCCTAAGGAAAGATCTATGTCATTTCTAGGGTTTCATAACCCTCTGTTGCACGTACCGTGTCACTAAGCATCCTACGGATATTCAGAATACAGTCTTTCCTTACAGAATAGGTGGTATTATATTATTAATACATAACAAAATCTGAATTTTTACAGGAATTGTAGATTCCATATAATAATCATGATTGAGTTTATTCTATAATAAGCCATTCAAAATTTTAGGAAAGTTGTTTTTCTATACCTCATTCCCCAATTTTTAATCATAAAGGCCTTGAAAACCAGCATGGTAAGTAAATATTCAATATTATTCTTTATTCAAAAATTAAAAGATTCAAAATATAAATACTATCAAAGGAATGTATAATTTAATAAATAAAACTTAACATTTTCTGCCATGATTTCAAAACAACTACTCAACAGTAACATAATTCTATGTTATCTCTACTTCTAAAATTAATAATGCTCCATTAAATAATGACAATTTGGTTAAAACTTTGGGATTTCAACAATCTCTTCAGCAATATCCCATACCACCTCCATGTGATTCAAAAATACATAAACTTATTTTTGCAAAGAAAGTGGTATGGCAAAATGGCCAATACTACTTTATATAAAATATAAGTCTAATAACAGGACAAAATGTTAACAGTAATTTTATCTTTGGGATGCAGAAGTGAAAGGATTGCTTGAGGCCAAGAGTTCAAGACTAGCCTGGGCATCAAAGCAGGACCCCACCTCTACAAAAAAATATAAAATATACTAGCCAAGGGTAGTGAGACACACCTATAGTCCCAGCTACTTGGAAGGATGATGCTGGATGATTTCTTGAGCCCAAGAGTTTGAGGTTGCAGTGAGCTATGATCATGCCACTACACTGCAGCCTGGGTGACAGTGAGACCCTGTCTCTAAAAAAAGGTTTTATTGGCCGGGCACAGCAGCTCACACCTGTAATCCTAGCACTTTGGGAGGCCGGCGGGTGGATCACCTGAGGTCAGGAGTTCAAGACCAGCCTGGCCAACGTGGTGAAACCCCGTCTCTACTGAAAATACAAAAGTTTTTTTTTTTTTTAACCGTGATTATCTCAGAGTGCAAGGAATACAGGGAGTGCTCATTCCCTCTGTTACCTTTTTTATTCCTTTCTGACTAGCTATCTAATTCTACAATGAACATATTAAAAGTATTTAAAAGAACATAACGAAAAACAGCTCTCCAAGAATGAACACATAACACACCTCAGCAGAGATGCTCCTAGGAAGTCCCTTAAAAGTCAGTGACAAAGGCTAGGGGAATAAGCTTCAAAATAAACAAAAGTCATAAACTTAAAAAGGAGAAGAGAGAAATATGGTAAGCCATAACTTATCTTAATATAGCTTAAAACTTTATCTCAAATCATTCTACACCTTCTTAATCCCTATAAAGAAGTAACACAGGCCAGGTGCGGTGGCTCACGCCTATAATCCCAGCACTTTGGGAGGCTGAGACAGGTGAATCACTTGAGGCCAGAAGTTAGAAACCAGCCTGGCCAACATGGTGAAACCCCACCTCTACTAAAAACATAAAAATTATCTGGACATGGTGGCGCATACCTGTAATCCCAGATACTTGGGTGGCTGAGGCACAAGAATCGCTTGAACCAGGAGGCAGAGATTGCAGTGAGCACAGATTAGACCACCTCACTCTAGCCTGAGTGACAGAGCGAGACTCTGTCTCAAAAAAAAGTAACTTGCAGAAACACTTGTACTACACTTTGCCTAACTGTCACATTCAATATCATTTTCTAAAACATACTTTTAAAACATCAGATGAAATTGATAGCACTTACTGCTGTAAGGCCTTCATTATTACAAATGTTGACATCAGCGCTATATTCTAATAATTTACTCATACATTTCTTCTGCCTGAAAAGAAAAAAGAGTCATGGATAACTGGTACTTAAAAAATATATGCAAATGACAATTAATTTACTGAAATATTAGCAACAATCAATAACAGCTGATGACATCATAACATCTTTATCTGTAATATCAAGCCATATCTGCAATATTTAAACAAACACTACTTGACGCAAGATACAAAACTGCTTCTATGACTCAAAGATAACAGGATAAAACAATGACACAGTCAGGTTTTCATATCATTGGGACAAATCACATTCAAACTGTAGAGAAGTTTCTAGTATTGACTAAGTTCATGAAATAGTAATATTCATTAGAAATATAACAAAATACAAGTCTAATGGAAGGGGAATGGATAGAGAAAAATGATGTCTCAACATTGTATCCTACATTCTTGACAGCAAAACATTTAAAACATAACACTAAGATGTTACAAAACCATACTCAGAATATCAATAAAATGCATGTCTATGCATCCCTCTACTCACTGGAGGGTGAGGAGGGGGATGTAGAGATTCTTTTTTTTTTAAGTTATTTGTATTGTGGTAAAATACATATAAAATTTGCCATCATAACTTTTTTTTTTTTTTGAGACAGAGTCTTGCCAGGCTGGAATGCAGTGGCACGCTTGGTTCACTACAACATCTGCCTCCCGGGTTCAAGTGATTCTCCTGCCTCAGCCTTCCGAGTAGCTGGGACTACAGGCGTGTGCCACCACGCCAGCTAATTTTTGTATGGGTTTTTTTTTTTTTTTCTGTGATGGAGCTGTGCTCTTGTTGCCCAGGCTGGAGTGCAGTGGCGGATCTTTGCTCACTCACTGCAACCTCCGCCTCCCAGGTTCAAGTGATTCTCTTGCCTCAGCCTCCCAAGCAGCTAGGATTTCAGGCGCATGCCACCATGCCCAGCTAATTTTGTATTTTTAGTAGAAACGGGGTTTCACCATGTTGGCCAGGATGGTCTTGATCTCTTGACCTCGTGATCTGCCCGCCTAGGTCTCCCAAAGTGCAGGGATTACAGGCGTGAGTCACCACGGTGGCCCATCATAAACATTTTTTTTTTTTTTTGAGACGGAGTTTCACTCTTTGTTGCCCAGGCTGGAGTGCAGTGATGCGATCTCGGCTCACTGCAACCTCCGCCTCCCAGGTTCAAGCAATTCTTCTGTCTCAGCCTCTCGAGTAGCTGGGATTACAGACATGCACCACCACGCCAGGCTAATTTTTGTGTATTTTAGTAAAGACACGGTTTCACCATGTTGGACAGGCTGGTCTTGAACTCCTGACATCAGGTGATCCACCCCCACCCCCCCAAGCCTCCCAAAGTGCTGGGATTACAGGCGTGAGCCACTGCACCCAGCCTCCATCACAACCTTTTTTTTTTTTTTTTTGAGACAGAGTTTCACTTTTGTTGCCCAGGCTGGAGTGCAATGGCACAATTTAGGCTCACTGCAACCTCTGCCTCCTGGGTTCAAGCAATTCTCCTGCCTTAGCCTCCCAAGTAGCTGGGATTACAGGCGCCCGCCACCATGCCCAGCTAATTTTTCGTATTTTTAGTAGAGACTGGGTTTCACCACGTTGGCCAGGCTCATCTTGAACTCCTGATCTCAGGCAATCCGCCTGCCTCAGCCTCCCTAAGTGCTGGGATTACAGGCGTGAGCCACCACACCCGGCCCCCATCACAACCATTTTTAAGTGTATAGTTCACTGGTAAATAGTCCAGTGAGTAAACAGTAATACATACAATACAGTGTGTATATGTTAAATACATATGTATTGTATACATATTATATAATAAATATAGTAGTAATGTAATATGAGGTTGGTGCAAAAGTAATGGTGGTTTTTGCCATTACTTTGAATGGCAGAGTATATACTATACATGAATATATTACTATTTATTCAACTAGATCATAAATATCTTCATACCATGGATTATATCATATTTCTTTAATCAACTCAGTAGTAAGCATAGCCAGGCTCATAGTAGCTCTCAATAAAACTTTGATTATTAATATTCAATCTTGTAAGTCAATAGCTAAAATTCTCATTGATTGAATAAAACTTTTTAGAAAAAAACAACTGACAAGTTACTTTTCTTGCTTTTTGTACTTGTAATGAAGTTAAATATCACTTAAAATTAGCATTATAATCAAAGAAACTGAAGAAAATAAAGCTCTGGGTAAACTTTTTTTTTTTTTTTTTTGAGACAAGAGTCTCACTCTGTCGCCCAGGCTGGAGTACAGTGGCACGATCTCGGCTCACTGCAAGCTCCTCCTCCCAGGTTCACGCCATTCTCCTGCCTCAGCCTCCTGAGTAGCTGGGACTACAGGCACCCGCCACCATGCCTGGCTAATTTTCTGTATTTTTAGTAGAGAAGGGGTTTCACCGTGTTAGCCAGGATGGTCTCGATCTCCTAACCTCATAATCTGCCCACCTCGGCCTCCCAAAGTGCTGGGATTACAGGCTTAAGCCACCACACCCAGCCAACTCTGGGTAAACTTTTAAGATAAAACATTTACAAAGTTCCTTTATCTAACACACTGTTAGGAAAACCTTAAGAAATAAATATTCAATAATCATGAGACCACAAACCAGATAGTCCCATTAAAATAAATACATTGTTTAAATGTGTGATCGTGTGTCTATACCTATATGGGTGGATTTCTAAAACCTTTCAGAAGCCTATTATGGACCACTGGCCTAAGCCAATAATGGCAAAATAAATCATTAGGTAGGAATGAGCCAGGGAAATAGGCCCAAAAAAGTGTTTATGGTAGGGGTTGTTGAAGAAAAGCAGTAATCTATAATGCTTCCCCTTCCAAAAATGAATTGCAAAAGGTACAGGGAATGTAGGAGAGAAATATATCCTATCTTTCTATTGAACAACCATTATTACTATTTTCCAGGGTCTGAATAAGTCAAATCAACCCAATAAATAAGTAGCTATTTTGCTAACAGAACTAAAATATTATGTAACACATGGGCCCTACCCTTTATGAGCTCATAATCACCTAAAAAATAAAGAAAAACTCTTCTTTCAAAACTGACCAAAACACAACCTAAGAACACACAATAATTTTAAAGCCTCTCCTTTTAACATTCTCATATAAGCATGAGCAATGCTGAATCCCCCTGTACAAGGAAGCAACTATATTCCTGCTCAGATATTGCACCAATTATAGGGAGCTTATGGCAACCCAAATTACACAGGGACCAGTCACCCAAGTGCTCTGTGGAAGCTTAATGGGGCTTCTTTTGGAAAGGAGGACAATCCAATACAGCACTAATGGCAAAGAGAAAAATGCTAAAGCAAGCCAAGAGAAATATAGCAGCCATCTGATGACAGCTGAGGGAACAAAACAAAAAGCTGGCCCCAAAACGCAGACTGACCAACAAAATGGGAAGAACTCTACTATGACTTCTACTTCAGTGTGGATAAATGTGAACTCATAAAGAAATTACAGTAAAAAGCTATTTCTGAAAACATCAGCCACTACAGGAAGTACTCAAGTCACTTAGCAAACATTGAGCACCTCTAAGTTGTACAAGGCTTCCACTCAATAAATAATAAAAACCAAAATATTTAAGTATTGAATATCAAGAGTAATCTTTATAGAAACAGAAAGGCATCCAAATTAAAGAGAGGGTCATGAATTCTTTTTATTCCTTTTCTTCTTGCTGAATAGCTATGTGAATCATGTAATATCTGCCATATTTCTTCACCTTTAAAATGTAATGGTCTTCAATCACTGTTGACAGAAAGAGTGATCAAAACTATTTCTTTTCTCTGTGCCACTTTATTTGTTTCTAAAAAACGGTACATGAAAATTCTTTTCAGCAGACCAAGAACATCCTGCCTTTCAAGTCTAAGACTTATTTCTTGCTCCTCACACTGAAGTCTTATGACTAAGTCGCCTACTGAAATGACAGCAGAGTGTTTATCCCTGCTCTGCACTAATCTCTCCTTTCATTAACATAGTTGTTGAAACAGAGTACTATGATATTTTTCTACATGTAACCTTTTCAAGACCTTTGTCGATACCCTATCAACACGTGGAATAATGTACCTAGACCTGAGATCAATTCAGCAAGGGAATGAATGATTTACTCTATGACCTTGGGTGTGACACATTACAAGATATCTAACATGGCTAATTATAAAAACAACTGTTTAATCAGCACATTGTTACCTATGAGAACAGTGGACAATTAAACTGGCTCACATGCTAAATCAGGAAATGGAGCAGATCAGCAAGAGTCAAAGGACTATGCCCTTCCCCTGTCCAACCTAGGCAACACTATTGCTGTCTTTTTTGCTCTGTTTTAATCTTTATACGCAAAAATTTGGCCTCGGATTGATGTAATGGACAATTTTTAGCTCCATATCCATCTTATTAGGCAGCCAACTCAAATATCTAGAAGCACAGTTGAGAATAGGAAACAAAAACATCTTCAAGAGTAATTAAAAAAAAAGACACAACGCATTTGTATACCGTGTCCATAGAGAAGTTTTTTGGGGTTTTTTTTGTTGTTTTTGATGTTTTGAGACAGAGTTTCCCTCTGTTGTCCAGGCTGGAATGCAATGGCGCAATCTCCACTCACTGCAACCTAGCTCTCCCGGGCACTCAAGCGACTGTCATGCCTCAGCCTCCCAGGCTCAAGCAATTTTCATGCCTCAGCCTCCTAAGTAGCTAAGATTACAGGCATGTGCCACCATGCCTGGATTATTTTTGTATTTTTAGTAGAGACAGGGTTTCACCACGTTGGTCAGACTGGTCTCAAACTCCTGACCTCAGATGATCCGCCCGCCTTGGCCTCCCAAAAGGCTGGGATTACAGGCCTGGACTCCATAAAGAAGTTTTACAGTGTTTGAAAGTGTTTAGGCCGGGTGCGGTGGCTCACGCCTGTAATCCCAGCACTTTGGGAGGCCGAGGTGGGCGGATCACCTGAGGTCAGGAAATCGAGACCATCCTGGCCAACATGGTGAAACCCCGTCTCTACTAAAAATACAAAAATTAGCTGGACGTGGTGGCACGTGCCTGTAATCCCAGCTACTCAGGAGGCTGAGGCAGGAGAATCACTTGAACTCGGGAGATAGAGGTTGCAGCGAGCCGAGACTGTGCCACTGCACTCCAGCCTGGTGACGGAGTGAGACCCCATCTCAAAAAAAAAAAAAAAGAAAGAGTTTATAAAATATAAGTTCTTCAAGTCCTGAATCAAAAAATACTTATTTTCATTTTAAACATAATTCCAATCATTTTGGTCTGATTTCTCAGACTAAATAAAAACTAATGTTAGCACTAAAAGGAGTAAACTACCCTAGTATCTAAGAAGATTACTCTGGTACAGCTCATTCACAATAATTACAAATAAACTGTGTACAATATATTAAGTCTGTGTATAATTCCATTAATAAAATTAGCTAAACAAGCAATTTGCAAAATGAGCCATGGAGTTAGGAGTGGCAAAAGATTAGCAGAAAAAAAGCACACTAAAATAGAGATGAAAATTATGCTTTTCAGAAAATACAATGTCACTATAATACAAGTAATAATGAACTTCCACATATAATATTTTCAAGAAGAAAATTAGTGAGAATCTAATAAATTAATAAATATGATAGCTATTTTTAAATTGAATATAATGACCCCAGATCCACTATAAAGAAGAACAATATCATCAATAATATCTTTGAGAGACAAAAAAAATATAGAAAATAAAATATGCACCATTATTTTAGTTTTTCCCAAGGTAAATATCAGGGATGCGGGAGGAATCATCAAACGAAGGCAAAGTGCCTTGAATAACTGATAATACAACTTAAGCCACTTAAGAAAACTAAATAGTTACCCATTTCTTGCTGCCAAATGAAGGGGTGTACAGCCTGAAATATCTTGATAGTTAGGATTTGCTCCTTTCTTTAACAGCAAAACCAAGCATTCCACCGATCCACAACTAAAACAATATTAAAAGACAGTTCAGATACATTCAACATACAGCCATACTTGATGTAGTTCAATTAAAAAACAAAATATTCTATTAAACACAATTTTCTTTTTGTTTTTCAGACAGTCTTGCTCTGTCGCCCATGCTGGAGTGCAGTGGCACCATCACAGTTCACTGTAGCCTTGACCTCCTGGGCTCAAGCAATCCTCCCACCTCAGCCTCCCAAGTAGCTGGGACTTACAGGCATGAGCCACCACAATTGGGTAATTTTTTTTTTTTTTTTTCTGTAGAGAAGAGACCTCATTATGTTGCCCAGGCTGATTTCAAACTCCTGAACTCAGGCAATCCTCCTACCTCAGCCTCCCAAAGTGCTGGGATTACAGGTGTGAGCCGCCATGCCTGGCCTTAAACACATTTTTTTTTTTTTCTTGAGACAGAGTCTCGCATGTCACCCAGGCTGGAGTGCAGTGGTGCGATGTCAGCTCACTGCAAGCTCCGCCTCCCGGGTTCACGCCATTCTCCTGCCTCAGCCTCCCGAGTAGCTGGGACTACAGGCACCTGCCACCATGCCAGGCTACTTTTTTTTGTATTTTTAGCAGAGACGGGGTTTCACCATGTTAGCCAGGATGGTCTCAATCTCCTGACCTCAAGATCCGCCCGCCTCGGCCTCCCAAAGTGCTAGGATTACAGGCGTAAGCCACCACGCCCGTCCTTTTTTTTTTTTTTTTTTGAGACAGAGTCTTGCTGTGTCACCCAGGCTGGAAAGCAGTGGCACAATCTTGGCTCACTGCAACCTCAGCCTCCAGGGTTCAAGCAATTCTCCTGCCTCAGCCTCCCAAGTAGCTGGGATTACAGGCGCACGCCATCACGCCGAGCTGATTTTTGTATTTTTAGTAGAGATGGGGTTTCACCATGTTGGCGAGGCTGGTCTCGAACTCCTGACCTCAAGTGATCTACCCACCTCAGCCTCCAAAAGTGCTGGGATTACAGGTGTGAGCCCCTGTGCATGGCCTTTTAAACACATTATTTTTACCTATAATTTGATTTAACTTCTGACACAAATAGTAAACATTCTCTACTTTCAAGATGGTCCATTCTACTATGAAAATTATAAAGTATTTGAGAAATTCAAATACTTCAAAGAAACCATATGATACTTTCAACCTTCTGGCCTTTCGTAAGCCAAATTATTCATGAAAAATTAATTTCAACACATCTACCTAAATCCTGAAAAGAGGATAGGTACCAATTAGTTAACTGATTGATTACATACCAGGAGACTGTAGATAAAAATCATTCTCCACCTATGTAAAAAATATAAAGCCAATGACTTCATCTGCAGACAGCATATAAAATCTCATATTGCTGGGATAAAAAGAAAATTTTGGTGAACTGTACCAGTAAGTACATCCAGGAAAGACAATCTCCATGTCTAACCTACTCTCATCTGATATAAAACAAAGACAAGAGGGACATGAGATTTACATACAATCCCAAAGTTAACAGTTTAGAGACAGAACGGATAGCACACCACGCGCTCAAACAGGATAAAGAACTACTCAGCTGTCTGTTCTCATCTCTCCCCAGAAATATTGTGTGATAATGCTGTTCAAAGCTTACTGATCCTTGCCCTAGATCAGAGTTTAACTCAAAATATCTTTAGTCTTACTTTGCTGCAATGTGAAGCAAGCTTCTTTTCACACGTCCGAATGCATAATTGACATCAAATTTTGAATTTGATAGTAGTTCAGAAACAGACCTATGCCAAAATAAAAATGAGGAATCAAGTGTAAAAAAAGTTTTTAAAAACATAATAAATCAAGTTAACAACTCTTTAGCTGCTCTGTTTGTTTGTTTGTTTGTTGAGACAAGAGTCTTGCTCTGTCACCAGGCTGGAGTACAGTGGCGAGATCTTGGCTCACTGCAACCTCCACCTCCCTGGTTCAAGCAATTCTCCTGCCTCAGCCTCCCGAGTAGCCAGGACTACAGGCGCATGCCACTACACCCGGCTAATTTTTGTATTTTTAGTAGAGAGGGGGTTTCACCAAGTTGGCCAAGATGATCTCAATCTCTTGACCTCGTGATCTGCCTGCCTCGGCCTCCCGAAGTGCTGGGATTACAGGCGTGAGCCACCCCACCCGGCCTAGCTATTCTTCTGATTCTTCAGGTTTTGTCCCACACCCACCACAAAATACTGCACTATTCTCTTAGTATGTTAGCCAGCTCAGTATCATCCAAAAACCAAACGCCTTGACCAATAAGCTGGTGCTGAAGGTTTCCTCATCTGCCACTTGGATAATCCTATGTTACCTGCTCTTAGGACACACAACAGACTAAGCTGGCTTTAGCTTTCCTTAGATTCTTGAGAAACAAAGGGTGTAGGCCTGGCTGCTCCCCTTGCCAAAAGTTGAGCCTAGCTATATTAATTTTGGCCAAATAAAGAAAATCAGACAAAAAACATTTTTTAATTATACCAGGTAGGAAATTTAAAACAAAAAAAAAAATTTTTTTAACTTGTTTCAAAATAGTTTCTCTTTACATTCTTCTTCTTATATCAAAAAATTCAATGGCTAGCCATGGCAGAGCTGACTGGTGTAAGTGTAAAGACCCCCTCACAAAGCCAAATAATTGTATTTCATATATGGCCCTGTAAAAGAATGTCAACACTACATCAATAAAAGGAACACAAAAATAAGTAGCACATAAGGGAAATAAGTTGTCCCTCAGCCATAATCTTTTACTATAAAGATCAGTAGTGACCTCTAAAAGAAATCATGACAATGTATTTTTCTATGTGAGTGACCAACCAAATACTTAGTATTTCAATATTCATTAAGAAAATCTATCATAAAATGTTACAGCTCATATAGATCTTGGAAAATCTTATTCCTTATTTCACACACACAAAATTATAACAGAAAAGTTAAATAACTTGCCCCAGAACATCTATGTCCAAACTGTCTGTGTGTGTGTGTGTGTGTGTGTGTGTGTGCGCGCGTGCGCGTGCACGGGCATGCAGTACACATTTAGAACAATGTATGCTTCTTAAAAAGCAAAAATTTTTGGAACAAGCACTCACCTGTGTTGATCAGCCATAACCATTGGCATTAATGTATAAACAGCAGTTTCATTATCTGAGTAAAAAAAAACAAAGAGTTCATTTATCCCCTACTTTGTGCAAGGGGTGATACTTAAGATTAGTTTAGAATTTTCCTAACTCTATACAAAAAGCGAAAAGGAGAGGAAGAAGGAGGAAAGAATAATGCAGAATACCAGAGGTATTTCAGAATTTACGATAGTGAAGAATCTTTCATCCCCTCCACTGCTTATCCCTTTTACATCATTACAAAAGAGCTTAGCTTCTGGATGTAAAAGGACAATTAAAGACTGATTCTTCAGAAGGTTTTGTCCCATTATCCACCAAAAAACAATTCTCTAAGTGTAGTATGGTAGCCCGCGCATCATCATCCAAAAACCTTTCTGTAGCTTTAACAATTGAAATTTCTTTTACTTCCAAAGAGGTATTTATAGGCATCATGTTTTATCATACTTACATGTAGTTTGGGGGAATTTTAAATATATATGGATATTAAATATATATATGCTAAAATAATTTTAAAACCTTAAATATACACAATACTGGCTTCTTGTCAATATTATTACAAAAGAAATTAGTTTAGAAGCTTTTATGAAAGAGCACTGAAGTCTTCATTGTACTTACCACTTTACTCACAACATTTTTATTCATATGTGCTATGGTTTGAATGCATCTACCAAAAGTTCATGTGTTGGAAATTTGGTTGCTATTATGGCAGTGTGAAGAGGTGAGGCTTTGGGGAGGCAATTGAGCCATGAGGGCTCCTCTTTCATGAATGGATTAATTCTGTTAATCCAGGAGTGGGTTAGTTATAATGAAGTTCAGCACCCTTCCTCTCTCACCGTTCTGCCTTCCACCATGGGATGACTCTTACTCGATGCTGGTGCCACACTGTTGGACTTCCCAGCTTCCAGAACTGTGAGAAATACATTTGTTTTCTTTACAAATTATCCAGTCTGTGGTATTGTTGTATCAGCAGAAAACAGGCTAAGAGAGACCCTTTACACAATAAATTCACAAAAACATGACCCAAAAGGTTAAAAATCAACATCTATGATGCCATATTATACTTATGTACATTTTAGCTAGTGTTTTGAATTGATTTTTATATATTACTAAGGGTCATTTCTCAATTCAATGTATTTTGGAGGTTTATGTTTTTTAATAAATTATTTACAAAGATGAAACCCTGACAACCCCCACTCAGCCCTTTAAAAGTTAATGCTGATGCTCAGTTAATAGGTTAAAGTTTAAGGAGAAACAAGATATTTACACAGTATCAAGTACCTCTCAAAAATACTGACTAATTACAAAGGAAAAAGAAAATTTATAGTGAAGAACCCAGCAGACACTATCTTAATCAACTGACAAAGGGTAACATCACCAAAAATAATATATGCTCAATATCATATAGTTACTGATATGATCCACTGAAAGGGGACACATCACTTTTGCAGTACAGCAGTCCCCACTTATCCGCAGGGGATACATTCCAAGACCCCGAGTCAATGCCTAAAACCATGGATAGTACCAAACCCTATGTATATGATTTTTTTCCCTACATGATAAAGTTTAATTTATAAATTGGGCACAGTAAGAGATTAACAACAATAAATAATAAATTAGGACAATTATAATACTATACTGTAATAAAAGTTATGTGAATGTGGTCTCTCTCCCTCTCTCTCAAAATATTGTGCTGTGCCTCCCGCAACTGAAACCTCGGAAAGCAAAGCTGCAGATGAGGGTGGACTACTGTTCTTGCCAAAAATGCATAACTTCAATCTAATCATGAGAAAATGTCAGAAAAGCCCAAATTAAAGGGAATTCCACAAAACACCTGATCAGTCCTCTTTAAAAGTCTCACGACCGTTAAACACAAAGAAAAACTAAAGAACTATCACAGTTTGGAGGAGACTAAAGAAACATAACTAAAGGCAATGTGGTATCCTGAATTGGATCCGTAAATGACATTAGTGGGAAAGCTGGTGAAATTTTAACAAACTCTGTAGTATAGTTAATAGTATACACAAATGTTAATTTCTTATTTTTGACAACTGTACTGTGGTTGTACAAGATGTTAACCTTAGGGAAAGGTGAGTGGAAGTTACATGGGAGGAACTCTGGGCTATTCATGTAAGTTTTCTGTAAGTTTAAAATTACTTTAAAAAATACTTATTTTAAAAGGAGGAGGAACTGTCATACATTAAGAGTCTTAAGAGACACATCAACCATACGTAATATGTAGTCCTTATCTGGATAGTGATTCAAAAAAAAAAACTGTAAAAGGACATTTTTGAGACAATTTTTGAGATGAGGACAAACTGTATATGGACTTGGTATTTTATTTCAAGATAATACAATATTACTGTTAATTGTATTGGCTCTAGTAATGGTATTATAATTGTGTTTGAAAAACATAATTCATATGTTTAGAAATATAAACTGAGCTATTTATAGGGGAAATGGAAAAAAGTTATCAATATTCCTTCACATATTTGTTCATTATTTTACTGTGAGTGTATACATGAAAAACAATTTAGTCCTTGGCAACATTCACAAGTTCAGTATGCAGATGCAACAACTTTTTCACTATAAAAGTAAAATACTAATAAATCCTATTAATAACATTTAAGAACCATTATCTTAAAGGCACTTTTCTAAACACTTTGCATGTATCATTGCTTTTCTCCTCACAACCACCCTATGAAGTAGGTACTATTATCCTCATTTTACAAATGAGAAAACTGAAGTACTAGTTAAGTAACAAGCTGTGTAACAGTGGCATTATGTGGCTGATTCCAGAGCCTCTACAAATAATATATCCTGGCTGGGTGCAGTGGCTCACGCCTGTAATCCCAGCACTTTGGGAGGCCAAGTCAGGCAGATCACAAGGTCAGGAGATCAAGACCATCCTGGCTAACAAGGTGAAACCCCATCTCTACTAAAAATACAAAAATTAGCCGGGTATGGTGGCAGGCACCTGTAGTTCCAGCTACTCGGGAGGTCGAGGTAGGAGAATGGCGTGAACCCAGGAGGCAGAGCTTGCAATGAGCCGAGATCATGCCACTGCACTCTAGCCTGGGCAACAGAGCGAGACTCCATCTCGGAAAAAAAAATAAAAAATAAAGATAAAAAATAAAAAGATAATATATCCTACAATGCACCCAGTATATACCACATAACCAGAAGGTCTACAATAGAATACTATTCTTAATATGTAAAATAGACTCTGTTTTATCCTCTTATATTTCTTTTTTTAAATGCTGACTGCAACCCACTAATTGCTCTCAGAAACTACCAATGAGTCACCACCAGGAGTTGAAAATACTACACTAAGCCTCCCTTGGCATGACAACATTCTTTATCGTTCATATAATAATACATGTCCCAATAAAAATCTGAACTTCTAAACCATGAGAATTTCCATTAAGTCACCCCATAATAAAGTCATAAAAAACACTGTTATTTGTGGGTTTAAACTTAAATCAAGATAAACTTTAAATCAAGATAGTGCATAATTTTAAGTGAGCGTTAGTGAGCATAATAAGGTTCACAATGGTTGTACTTGTAAGGTTTTTATTTTTTAGATAAAAATTAGATTTACATCTTAAGTCACATCTAACCTAAAGAAAAAAGTAGGTCACATACATTAACAGGTAAGTATGAAGAAATAAATCTAACCACAACTGTGGTGCTAGAAGAAGACTATCCAAGAAATACTATACTAAGAAAGGACAGAATACAATTTGTTGCCAGATACTTCCTTGTCTACTCTTGAAGACACCTTCAGGATTAGGTATATAATTAAAGTCTCCAGGGTGACAAGAAAAGTTTAATCTATCACTTTATTAGACATGTTTGCCATTTTTATCACTACAGTTTCAAAACCCAACTGTTAACAAAAAAAAGGTGCTCAGAGTAATTAATTATATACAATTTCTCTTCAAACCATCACATGGAGTAATTTTTTTAAACACAATTATCCCAATCACATATGCTAAAATGGGCTCAAATTTTATTATTTTATTAAACAAACTGCATTCACTATATAGTAGTTCAAACTTTACATACACTAACAACATACACCTTCCTTTTATTTATGTGTTTTTTTTTTGAGACTGAGTTTCGCTCTTGATGTCCAGGCTGGAATGCAGTGGCGCGATCTTGGCTCACTGCAACCTCCGCCTCCCAGGTTCAAGCAATTCTCCTGCCTCAGCCTCCCAAGTAGCTGGGATTACAGGCACCCGCCACCACATCCAGCTAATTTTTTGTATTTTTAGTAGAGCCGGGGGTTCACCATGTTAGCCAGCTGGTCTCACACTCCTGACCTCAGGTGATCCACCCACGTCGGCCTCCCAAAGTGCTGGGATTACAGGTGTGAGCCACTGCGCCCGGCCTCCAACTTTTAAACACTACTAAGAATCCATATCCCTAAAGTAATTTCTTACTCTTCACCTCTTTTTCTCTCAAGAATATTCCTGTGTTAGGCCTGCCTAGGAGGACTCAACTACCTGCACTCCATTACTTAGGGTAATACTCAGGTTTTCATCATCTCAAGGAAACATAGCATCCAACTCAGTTTATCAAACATCTATAGTTTCAACCTTTGCAACAAAATTAATTTTAGAGTACAAGCTGACTAAAAAGTTTACAAGTTTAATAGTTTGTTGTAATTAGATGCTTATTGATTACTGAATTCTAACAAAGCAAAAAAAATCTGATTATTTTCTAAATTTAGAGAGATCTCAGAGTTTCCATTCAGCTCTTAAAATGTAAGCACAAATGTGGATTTGTATCAGTAGGAATGTTATATATATATTTACATATATATATTTATTTACATATATATTTACATATATATTTACATATATATATATATATTCCTATATGTATGATATACTTTAAAGAGCCAAGCTCAGAGAATTCAAAGACTCATCAGAGCTTAGAGACAAAGATAAATTAAATTCAAGGAACAAAATGAACATTATAATCAAAGAAAAGCAAATGCAAACGATGCCATTTTTGCCTATGTGGAAAAGTTTTACTTTTACTAATAATACTCTAGTTTCTGGGCACTCTCGGACTGCTGGTGGAACTTTCCAAGGAGTAAGTTGAGAAACTGATATGTTGAGCCTTAGAAATGTATTGTAGATATTCTTCTTGTAAGAATTAACCCTAAGGAAGTATTTAGAGGCAGACTATGTCTTAAATACAAAGCTGTTTCTCATAAAATCAGTTTAAAAACAGTATTTAGATTCAACATTTGTTACATGCATCCTATGAAATTCTGAAGTCATTAAGCCTATTGAAGAATACAAAAAAAAAAAAACATTTGGGGCGGGGCACGGTGGCTCACGCCTGTAATCCCCCAGCACTTTGGGAGGCCGAGGCGGGCAGATCACGAGGTCAGGCGATCGAGACCATCCTAGCTAACACGGTGAAACCCCGTCTCTACTAAAAATACAAAAAATTAGCCGGGCCTGGTGGCAGGGGCCTGTAGTCCCAACTACTGGGAAGGCTGAGGCAGGAGAATAGCGTGAACCCCGGAGGCAGAGCTTGCAGTGAGTCGAGATGGCGCCACTGCACTCCAGCCTGGGCGACAGAGTGAGACTCCGTCTCAAAAAAAAAAAAAAAAAAGGATGTTTTCTAAACACAAAATAAAAGACTATATGCAACATGATTTTAACTTGTTAGGGAGGGAAAAAGAAATAACAATGGTAACACTGTTTATAACTGGATGGTGAAATGACATATTTTTTTCTATTTTTCTTTATTTTCCAAATTTTCTACAATGAAACTATATTACTTTTAAAACCAAGTAACATTATCAAAGTCTTCTAAATCACATTTATGTAAAAAATATCGGGATTCAAACTAGACAATATAAATTATACATGTAGTCTTCATAAAGCTATACCAATAATTCGACTACGAAAAATAAGTAAGAGTAGCACTTAAGAAATGGATTCAAAGGTGGAAGTTGGAAAGAAAATATAGAAAAAGTTGAAGCTAGAATCTAGTTACCAAAATCTGAATTCTAAATAGAGACTAGAGACCATTTTTTCAAGAAGATTATCCCCAGGCCAGGCGCGGTGGCTCACATCTGTAATCCCAACACTTTGGGGGGAGCAGGGTGCGGATCACTTGAGCCCAGGAGTTCAAGACCAGCCTGGGGAACATAGTGAGACCTCATCTCTATAAAAGAAAGGAAAGAAAATTATCGCCAAAGTACCCAATCCCACATTTCTTTCATGACCGTCTGCCAAGGTCTCCTTCCCTATCCTACAAACCACCCAGCAGCAATTCAAAGAGAGTTTTGAAAAAGTAAGATAAACTACTACAATTAAGAAAAAAGCTATTCACCAGCTACAACCTCCTCCCAACCCTTCTCTCACTTGGGCATAAAGAGCCAAAAGCTTCTTAGAAGCAGCACTGCTGTCTCCCATCACCACTAAAATGTCTGAATTCCTGACGCTGCAAACAAAACTGCTTATTTTCTCTCCTTGTTATTAGCAGAGTTTTACCTGTCCTGAGGGAACCCTGGCACGCTGAACTAAAAGTCCTGATCCTCAGGGACCATGCCTTATTCCTCTTTGCAGATGCGTCCTAGTTACCAGCTAGCCCACTCAATACTAGTCTGATGAATAAATGAAGAATGAAGGCAGGCATGCATATTAAAGAAAAATATATTGTGTTTACCCATACAGTACTTTAAGAGTACCTGTTTGATGTTTGACAACCCTTTGTTTGCCTGTTATCAAAACAAGGCAGTGCCCCACATTTTAAAAAATAACAAAAATAAAAGCCCGCCTGGCCCCCCGATGCAGCTTAAAGTAAACAGTATCTTTGGATCATCTCTATCCCCAGCTACTGTTAAATGACCCGCAATTATGATGTTTTCTGACTCCGGGTCTCGGGCCTCCGGCTGGTATTCCTGCCCCTTTGCCAAGACCCCTAATCGACAGACGTTGCGAGACCTTTGTCTCGCTCCTCCCAGCAGCGGAACCCCCACCAACCCAGTTTCCTCCCGAAAACTCCCACCTGCCGGGGTGGGAGCGTCGGGCCAGGGGAGTTCGGGGCCCGGGGCCGCCTCTCAGCTCTGGAAAGTAAAAGTGGGCGTTTTCTCAGCTTTCAGTTAGTTTTTCCACCCGACCTTGACGCGGCCGGAGCTCCTGCCCCACTGGCCGCCCCCAGCCCCGCGGCCAGCCTGGCCCCGCGACCCGGCTCACCCTCGGGCAACTCCACGGTGCGCGCGCGGCGCAGCGAGCGCGTCAGGCGGTTGAGTTGCTCCATCGCTCTCTCCATCCTCGGCGCGCCCTCCGCGATCCTCCGCGATCAGCCGCCCCACCGGCGGCCTCCGCGCCCAGAGCCCTACATCTCGCCTGGGCCCGTCCAGCAGGCGGAGACGCGGGCTTGCCCCGGCTAGAGCACTGAGCTGCGAGGGCTGCCTGGGGCCACGTCCTGCGTCCGGGGGCCGGGCTGCTGCCGGACCGACCACCTACAGTACACCCGCCGCCGCCTCTGCTCGCGCCTTTCCTGCAGCCCCCGCCGCCGCGTCCCTCCCGGGCTCGCGTGGCCTTCTGGGAACTGTAGTTTCCAGCTGGCAGAACGGAGCGCCCTGGGCGGAGTCACGTTGGGGGCGCCCAGGCCACGCCAACGCGGGCGCAGGGCTGAGTATGCGGGAAGCCACGCAGCGACTGGGCGTACTCCTAAGCTTCTGGAAAGGCATTCTCACGCCCTGCTCCTCCTACCCTCCTCCAAAGTTGTACAGGAGCAGTTTCCTCCAATTCTATAACTTTACTATAAAACAGATTAGAAATTGGCACAATTGTTCTTAAATCCGTCACCACCTTTCTAGTACTGTATTAGTGCCTTTGTTTCAGGTACCCTACATGAACTGTTTTAAGTATGGTATTTTCATATGTCAAACTTAAAGAGTAATAAAATCAAACAAATCCAAAAGCATATTGTGCTTTTGTCTTCATTGTAAATAACTTGACAATAGCTTAATTAGTTGTTTTTCCTGCCGGGCGGCTTTATGAGGGCAGGGACATTTAATCTTGAACTGTGTTGTATCCCTGTACTTAACAAGGCACCTAGCACAAAGTTAAAGCTCTGGGGAAGATATGAATGATGACAACCTGAAAAAATTTTTTCATTTATTTGGTACAATGCTAAAGTGTCTATGTGATGACACAGCCTAGTGGGAAATCCAAAGGATTTGACTTTGTAAGTTACAAAAAATTTGGATACCTACATTGTGGAAGAAATGAACTCAGTGGCGAAAAATCATATTCATAAGCTCTGCACAGAAGTTGAACACTTGAAACAACAGAAGTTGGAACTTCAAAAAATTAACCCAATCAAAGGGGTAAATGTGAGCCTGGCTAACACCAATATATCTTGGATATATTACCAGTGCCAAGATGATGCTGGAGTGAGGGAGAAACAAAAGGCTTGTCTTTTTCAGCTTCTCTTCCTCAAAGAGACAAAGCTGTTCCTGAAATGAATGGGCACATGTACGTTGATGATGTATGTTGGCTGGCCAAGTGAAAGAGAGTCTCACCTGCCCATTCAGGATATGAAGGGGCAGATGGTGGTTGGCATGTGTTTTCCCTGCCAGTGCCGTCCTAAATCAGTTCCAGCTAGTGACCATTTGTGCCAGTGGTGCCACAGGCACGGGGAAGACCTCTGTAATCTTCACCTAATCAGATGATACCTAAACCAGTCTGGCAACAAGGTGGTAGAGGTCAAAGTTTCAAAAGAATACCAGAGGCTGGGCGCAGTGGCTCATGCCTGTAATCCCAGCACTTTGTGAGGCCAAGGCAGGCGGATCACTTGAGGTCAGGAGTTTGAGACCAGCCTGGCCAACATGGTAAAACCCTGTCTCTACTAAAAATATGTATATACAAAAATTAGCCGGGCGTGGTGGTGTGCCTCTGAAATCCCAGCTACTCGGGAGGCTTAGGCAGGAGAATCGCTTGAACCCGAGAGACAGAGGCTGCAGTGAGCTGAGATCCTGCCATTGCACTCCAGCCTGGGTGACAGAGCGAGACCCTGTCTCAAAAAAAAAGGAAAGGAAGAAAGAAATACCAGACGTTATGGACCAGTCTAGCCCAGGCTCAACCATTTGCAACCTGGCTTCAACTAAAAATGTTCCAGTCTTGCTTGGCCTCTTATGCTATTCAAAAAGTCAGGATTCCCACTGCTGTACAGAAGTTGGCCCCTCAGCTTCTCTCAGCTGCTGTTATCACCATTGCTCTCTAGGCTGTTGCTCCATATAAATTACCTCCAACGTCCTGTGAGGACCAAGCCTGGAGTTTGTGGGCAGGGGTAGGAGCCCCCAGCAGCCTCCATGGTGGGCATTGCATCTCATGCTGGTCACTGTTCACCACAGGAGCAGAAGATAATGGAACAGGTAATGCTGATGTGAATTGTCAGTTCCAAATTCTGCAATATGATGCCGTCTCCCAATAGCTCTGCTTCAAAATGTATAAAGCTGCAGTACTACTATCAGCTTATCACCTCCTGTCCAACAGAACTTTCTGCAATGATAGAAATATTCTATAATCTGCAATGTCCAAAATAGCATCCACTAACCAAATGGGGTTACTGGGTGCTTGAAATGTGGCTGGTGCAACTGAATTTTAAATTTGTATTAAAGTATAAGTAATGAAACTAATTAAGTTAAATAGCTGTATGTGCCTTGTGGTTACCGTATTAGACAGGGCAACTTATCACACCAAGAAGAAAGCTGCCCAGGAGAACACCAAAACAGCTAAACAGCTTCTTATAGATTATTATTAGCTAAAGAGTAGATTTTCTCACCTGTCACCAACACCAAAAACATCAAGTGGAAGTTTCAAAAGGGCACTTTGTATCATAAGTTCCATTAACAAAAGCGTAGAGTTTTTCACTAATGATAACCCAGGTTCTTCTGTGGCCCAGACAGTTTCAACTTTCTTTTTTGTATATCTGGTATTTTTTTCTTCCTGGAAATTGGTTTTATTGAAGATTCCCAAGCATTAAGGGAAAGAGAAGAGAAAAACAATCTGTTCAACAAAAGGCAGGAAATGGGTGGGAAGCAAAGAAAAATGGTCATAAAAACAAAACATAAAGTAGCAGTAGAAATAAATCTAAATATATCCATGGTCACAGAAAATATAAACAGAGTAAACTCAATGTTTACTCTAAAACATAGAGGTCTTAGATAGTGTGTTAAAGAAAAATAAAAATGGAGGCCACAGTTTAGATATACCCAAGTCCAACTGTGTATAACCACAAACCAAAACTCATCATCCTCATTTCCCCAAAACACCATCTGTAATAATAAACACAAAACGCAAGGTTTATATCCTTGTCAGCATGATTCAGTGAAACTAAGCCAATCAGCTATAGACAAATCAGCTTAAATAGTTTCCCTAAAAAAATTAATGTATAACAGACAATCATGAAAAAAGGCCAAAGTACTTCATCTTTACGCTTTATAAACTGTACGGGAAATGCAGTAAGGCAAGCTTCTCAACACTGACTCAAAATATCCTGGATCGCAATTTGTACTTGATCTGATTTATTTCTTACATCTGAAAAGATCAAATAAAACAGCTATTTGCTGTTTCTAAGGGACCACCATTTCCAAAAGGAAATGGAAAAAAGGGATACCATAGAAAATATTAGCCAAATAAATGTGATATAAAAATATATCAGGGTTCTCTAGAGAAACAGAACCAGTAGAATGTGTGTATATATATGGAGAGAGAAAGAGATTTATTATCAGAAATTGACTCACGTGATTATGGAAGCTAGCAAATCCAAAATCTACAGTTTGGACCAGCGGTCTCAATACCCAAGAGACCTGATGATGCCATTCCAGTCAAAGGCCAGGGCAGCTAGTAAGACAGATGAAGTCTGGAGGCAGTCTGCTGAAAAATTCCCTCTTGCTGTTTCTTCTATTCAGGCCTTCAGCTGATTGGATGAAGCCCACCCATATTATGGAGAGCAATCTGCTTTAACCAATTTAAATGTTCATCTCTTCCAAAAACACCCTCCAAGTTGGCACAGAAAATTAACTATCATGAACAATATTAATATCAGCAAAATAAATTTTAAAGGAAAAAACATTATTAGAGTCAAAGAGAGTTACCAGAAAGTTTATACTAGTCCTGAACCTACACCTAAAGACATAGACTAAAAATAAAGCTACACTTGACAGAATTACAAGTATAAGTTCCACACCATGGTGCTAGATTTTTCACACCCTTCGCTCTGAAACGAATAAAGCTAGCAGAAAAAGACAGTTAAAGATACAGAAGATTAAAAAACTTCAACTACAAGTCTCATTAAAGGGCACGTGTGAACATTCACTTCACTACTAATGAAGAGGGAATACACATCCTTTTAAAGCACATATATTACAGTTACAAAAATACAACGCATCCGAGTGCCCTTCTTCAGAGCAGTGTCACTGAGGTGGCAACTAGGAAGACCATGGCCAAAGCCAGGGTAGGGTAGGTTGAAAATCCCAAGAAATGGAGTGGACAGAGGAAGCTATCAAAGGAAAAACAAAGCAGACTGTAGGTCTGGAAGTAGAGGCAGGAAATGCAGGGGACACATAAGCCAGTAGAAGGGACTTTGGAGTTAGCAATGAGAGGCAGCCACGGGTCTCACTAAACTACACTTTCATCCAGTACCCATGCTACAGAATTTCTTAATCAAAGTGAAGGATCCTACATTTGTCCTGCTGGATTTCATCTTGATTAGTTTTTGTTGTTGTTGTTGTTATTGTTGTCGTTTTGAGATAGGGTCTTGCTCTGTTGCCCAGGCTGGAGTGCAGTGGTATGATCTCCACTCACTGCAACCCCTACTGCAACCTCCGCCTCCTGGGTTCAAGCAATTCTTGTGCCTCAGCCTCCGAGTAGCTGGGACTACAGGTTAGCGCCAGCATACCCGGCTATTTTTTGTATTTTTAGTAGAGGCGGGGTTTCACCATGTTGGCCAGGCTGGTCTCAAACTCCTGGCCTCTGGTGATCCACCCACCTCAGCCTCCCAAAGTGCTGGGATTACAGGCATGAGCCACCGCACCCAGCCTGAGGTCATTAGTATAACCTGAAAAGATATTGCTGGGTCCTGCATCTATTAATCAGTTGTCTGGTATCTTCTGTGCTGTGTATCATGTGCAGACTTGACAAGCTCCCTCTCTATATAGGGATTGAAGTCACAGATTAAAATGCTGAAACAAAAGAAAGCAAAAAAAAAAAAAAAAAACCTCATTGAAATTACAACCTAAAACTTTCCCAAATTATCTTTGATTCATTAATGGGTTCTTTAGGGGAGAATATGTCATCGCCTATTAACACATCTAACTGTCTGTGTACTGAAAGCCATTAGAAATGTTGTGTACAGGCTGATTGCGGTGACTCACACCTGTAATCCCAACACTTCGGGAGGCCAAGGCGGGTGGATCGCAAAGTCAGGAGATGGAGACCAGCCTGACCAACATGGTGAAACCCTGTCTCTACCAAAAATTAGCCAGGTGTGGTGGCACGTGCCTGTAAACCCAGCTACTCAGGAGCCTGGGGCAGGAGAATTGCTTGAACCCGGAAGGCAGAGGTTGCAGTGAGCTGAGATCGTGCCCCTGCACTCCAGCCTGGGCAAAGACCCAGACACTCCCTCTCAAAAAAAAAAAAAGAATTGTTGTGTACCTTTTGATTCATTCAATTCACCTCTGGGCATATAGTCCAAAGAAACAACCTGAAATAGAAACAAAGGTGTATAGATAAATATAATATTTATTTATACAGAAGTATTACTAAATTCCTAGTGAACAAAAAAACATACTGCCTGTAGGAGGGGAATAGAGATATTTCTTAAATAATGTTTTTCAAATAATTATGCTCACGGATATGTAATTGTAAGTAGAGATAAGTGTTCTGAAAGGCTGGAAAAAACATTCTGTGAAAGACTAGGAACATCTAGAGAGGATTTCCAAAAAAACAGACACTTAACCTAAGAATCAAAAGATAAATAGAAGGTATCTAGGCAAAGGAGCTAGGGTGATAAAGAATATTCTTGGTGGGGCGCAGTAGCTCACATCTGTAACCCCAGCACTTTGGGAGGCTGAGGCAAGAGGATCGTTTGAGTCCGGGAGTTTAATACCAGCCTGAGCAACATGGCGAGACCTTGTCTTGACAAAAAAATTTAAAAATCAGCCAGACATGATAGCGTGCCTCTGTGGTCCCAGCTACTCCAGAGGCTGAGGCAGGAGGATCACTCAAGCCTAGGAGAATGAGGTTGCAGTGAGCCATGTTTGTGCCACTGCACTCCAGCCTGGGTGACAGAGTGAGACCCTGCTTGAAAAAAAAAAAAAGAGGCCGGGTGTGGTGGCTCACACCTATAATCCCAGCACGTTGGGAGCCTGAGGCAGGTGGATCACTTGAGATCAATAGTTCAAGACCAGCCTAGCTAACACGGTGAAATCCTGTCTCTACTAAAAATACAAAAATTAGCCGGACATGGTTGCATGTGCCTGTAATCCCAGCTACTCAGGAGGCTGGGGCAGGAGAATCGCTTGAACCTGGGAGGCGGAAGTTGGAGTGAGCTAAGATTGTGCCACTGCACTCCAGCCTGGGTGACAAAGCGAGACTCCATCTCAAAAAAAAAAAAAAAGTGCTCAATGGAGAGAATGGAATTTGCAAAGATCCTATGGTGCATGAAATGTTCAAGGAATCTAAAGAAAGTTGTATTTTGGTTATGTCATTGAAAGTCAAGGAGCAAAAGGGAGTACACTACGAAATGGTGAGAGAGGAAGCAGTCCATGTGGGGCTTTGCTAGCCATGATAGGGCCTTTAGCATAAGAGCAGTGGAAAGGCATTAAAGGATCTTAAGCAAGTGGGAATAATATGATCAGATTTGTGTTTGGAAGGAAAACGTTTACTCCACCTGAAGGATGAAGAATGAATTAGATTGACAGTTGGATAGATAAGCAATAAATAGTTTGTGGGCTACTTACTATTTAGTCCAAAAGATGATTGTCTTTTGGACAGCATAGTGGTTATGTCAGTAGAGTAAAATGTTTTCAAAATAACATTGAGAAATATTTTTGTAATAAAATCAATAACACCTAATGATGGACTGCGTATGAGAAATGGGAAACAGAAAATGGATTATGCAATTTTATGTATGATGGCACCATTCCTGGGAAAAGAGAACACTGAATAGAACCAGGTATGGAAAAGGAGATTGTGTCATGGAAAGTTTGAGGTGCCTTTGAGGTACTGAAGTGGAGATATCAAATAGATGACTCGACATACATGGCTATTCTGGGCTTACAATATACATTTGGAGATATAACTCTACAGATAGTGTTTGGAAACTAAGGAGATAATATAAAGTAGAAAAGAAGCATCAACTTGTTCAAGACTAATCCTTGCAGGTTGACCTCCCAAAGGGAGTTCGCTTCCTGAAGGGCTCAATTGTTCAGACAGTCTGTCCTGGTAAAATATTGATAGTTGAACCAGGCTGTGGAATAAAAAGAGCAACAGAAAGGTAGCTGGAGTGGGATTGGGGTTGAGAGAAAGTTTTGGGGTTTTTTTGTTTTGTTTTTTCAAGTTACCAGGTAATTGAGGATTTTTTTTTTTAGATGGAATTTCGCTCTTGTCACCCAGGCTGGAGTGCAATGGTGCAATCTTGGCTCACTGCAATCTCCGCCTCCTGGGTTCAAGTGATTCTCCTGTCACAGCCTCCTGAGCATCTGGGATTACAAGTGTGTGCCACCATGCCCAGCTAATTTTGGTATTTTTAGTAGAGACAAGGTTTCACCATGTTGGCCAGAGTCATCTCCAACTCCTGACCTCAGGTGATCTGCCCGCCTTGGACTCCCAAAGTGCTGGGATTACAGGCGTGAGCCACCTCGCCCAGCCAAGGATATTTTAATTAATTGAATATTTCAGAGAAGGAGAAATTATTGATAGTGTAAGATCTAAAATACAGAAAGCTCTCTAAATAAGTAAGAAAGACATAAAAGTTTAACAATAAGAAAATTGCTCAATAAGTTATGGTATGTTTATATATGCAATATTTTGCAGCCACTAAAAATGGTGTATATGATAAAAGGATAGCACTGATTACAAGAGAAGTGGAGAGGGCAGCTATGGGGACGGAAAACGAAGTAACAAGGCCCCGCATGAGAGGGAGACTTCTTACTGTATATCTTTTTAGATCCTTCTAATTTTTACCTCTGTAAATTCATTGCTTATTCAAATATGTAAAAATAAATAAAATAATTTTAAATAATCAGAAACAGTAATATAAATGAAAAGGATCAATAGAGTGGGAATTGCAGTTGCCTCCAAAACATTGTCTCCCTATTTTTGGTGACAGTCCCTATTTTCATTTTTTTAGGTAGATGGTTTTAAATTTTATTAAGGAATTTTCTACATAAAAGTAAACAAGGCCGGGTGCGGTGGCTCACGCTGTAATCCCAGCACTTTGGGAGGCTGAGGCGGGTGGATCACAAGGTCAGGAGATCGAGACCATCCTGGCTAACACAGTGAAACCCCATCTCTACTAAAAACACAAAAAATTAGCTGGGTGTGGTGGCAGGCGCCTGTAGTCCCAGCTACTCGAGAGGCTCAGGCAGGAGAATGGCGTGAACCTGGGAGGCGGAGCTTGCAGTGAACCAAGATCACGCCATGGCACTCCAGCCTGGGCAACAGAGTGAGACTCTGTCTCAAAAAAAAAAAAAAAGTAAACAAAATAGCAAAAATGAAATCTGATATGCTCATCACCCAACCAATCTTATTTTGCCCATATCCCAATACTCTCACACTGGGTTATTTTAATGTAATTCCCAAACATCATAGCATTTCATTTGTTACCATTTCTTATGTATCTCTGTAAGATGAGTCCAAAAAATAACTACAATACTATTACTACACATAAAATATTTAAAAAGATGTAATGATATTGTCAGATATCCAGAGAATGTTCAAATTTTCCCAATTGTCTTAGACATTTTTAATAACTGGTTTATTTGAATCAGAATCCAAATAACACCCACATATCACATTTTGTTGTTATGATTGCAAAGCCTCAAGCCTCTTTTATTCTATAAAATAGCTCTCCTCTTCCCTAACCCTCTTTACGTATATTTATAAGTCCTAGTTTCATTCAGGTGTCTACACTTCCGCGCTGCCCATATGCTGACTCTAACTCTGACTCTAGGGTCATGTGGCTAAGGTGTAATCTCATCCCAGGCCACTATTGATAGTAGATAGTTCAGAATTCAGATCAATGAGAAATGGAGAGAAGTTGCTGAGAACTTTCTGGAAAAAAAGCTTTCTTACTCTTCTGAGGACAAGAACCTCTCTCTCTCTCTCTCTCTCCATCCCTCTCCTGTCTCTCTCTCTCTGTGCATTATATTTATGGTAAAATATTGATTGCTTTCTTTCTAAAACCAGGAATAAGGCAACAATATCTGTTTTCATTACTTCTATACAACATTGTACTGGAAGTCCTACTGAGTGAAAATGATTCTGGAATAGTTGTATATTCATTTGGGAGAAGAAAACACCTCAATTCCTACATCACATCACACACAAATTAATTCAAAAAGGATCATAAATCTGAACATAAGAGCTAACTATAAAGCTTCTAGAATAAAGCATAGGATACTATTTTCATGACCTGGGAGAAGTCAAAGACTTCTTACAGGACACAGAAAGTAAAAAAGCATAAAAGCAAAAACTTTATATTCGTCTTAAAAGCTTCTTCTCAGCAAAATATACCATTATGAAAATGAATAGGTAAATTCTCTCAAGGAGAAAATATTCAGAAAACACGTATCTCATAAAGAATTTGCGTACAAAGGATTCCTATCACTCAAAAACGACCTAGTAAATTGAAGATGTTCATGCTACTCAGTAAATACAGTCTCTGAACAGAAAGACATCCGAATACCTCTCATGACACGCAAAGTTAATAAGTGCATATTTTATCAATGCAAAAGTTTCTTCTCTGAGACCATGATGAAATAATATACAGGGATAGAATAGAAGATGTTCACCCTTGCAGAATTCACATATTGCTTAATATGTAGGAGAGATTTCATACTGGAGAAATCTCACTGCACTAAAATATTCTTTCGTTTTCTTGAGACCTGAGAAAACACACTACAAATACTGAAGACAAATAAATTAAAAAATCCTTATCTAACTCTATGTATTTAGAGCATGATAGATGTCAATCTTCTTCCCTGTATATCAACAATGGGAAGAAGTACATGCTAACTAACCACAGCTGTTCCTCATGGATATAAATTGCAAGCCACCAGAACTTTCTCAGGAGTAGATTATTGCAACCCTACATGCATCTTAGGTTAGGAGTTAAAGTGTATTAGTTCGCAGGAGAAATGTAAATTTTGGTATTTCCATGAATCAAAATTCATAAATTGTGATTGCCTAAAGTAGAAGCTTTTGGCTATGCCTAAATAAGTTTGATGTTTCAAATTTTCATATATCTATCGCAAGTTTCATGTTTTATGCTAATATTAAAAGCAGTGCTATGTTTTCCAAAGTGAGGCATTAGGATATCAATAGATAGACAACATACAAAATGCAACTCATACTGAGAAATTAAACATTTTAAACCATTAAAACATTTGTAGAAGTCTGTGACTTTCATAATAAATGAGACAAAATCAGTAATTAGTCCTATGAAAGTGTTTTCTGAATTTTGTAGTAAGTTCAATGACCTTAGTAATCACTTCAGGGAGCAGCGTGAAAGATCATGTTTCCTACATAAAAAGTAATAGTGTCAAGAAAAACAGTATGGGCCAGGCAAGGTGGCTCATGCCTGTAATCCCAGCACTTTGGGAGGCCATAGCAGGTGGATCACTTGAGGTCAGGAGTTTGAGACCAGCCTGGCCAACATGGTGAAACCCCGTCTCTGCTAAAAATACAAAAATTAGCCAGGTGTGGTGGCATGCACCTGTGATCCCAGCTCCTCAGGAGGCTGAGGCAGGAGAATCGCTTGAACCCAGGAGGCAGAGATTGCAGTGATCTGAGATTGTGCCATTGCACTCCAGCCTGGGGAACAGAGGGAGACTCAGTCTGAAAAAAAAAAAAAAAGAAAGAAAGAAAGAAAAATAGTATCATTTAGCTTGTGTATTTAAAATTATTTTAATTTGTATTGAGTTTATTTTTCATTTCAGTGAAATGCTGCCTTCTTTAAACATTCCGTTTTAATTAGATAAAGGGTGTCAGTGACTTCATTCCATCATCAGTAACTTAGTTTCAAATTCAATACATACATGTATGTTCAAAATGCAAGGTAGAAGTACACTGAAGAATAAAAACCTGCACATGCACCCCCAGAATAGACATTTTTTTCTTATGCTCAAGAAGTTCAACTTCCAAAAAGAGAGTTAAGACATGTACAAATCTGACAGTAATACACAGCAAACTGTGGAGAGTCCTTCAAGTTGTACCAAAAACCCTGAGGAGGTGAGAAAGAGAATCATCACTTCAGTGTAGTAAGGGAGTAGAATCAGGGAGATTTCATGCCTGAAAGACGTCATATTTACACATGGGGAATAGAAACAAGCAGGACAATCTGATTAACAACAAATAATAACAGCTGATACTTGTTGAGCATTAATAGCTGATTTAGCTGAGGCTCATGGGTAATTGGGGAATTAAGGCTAACATATGAGTCAGATTTCAGTTAGCCTTGAATGACATGCTTAGCAGCTTGAAGCCAGTTCTATAAGCAGTGAGGAGCAACATAATTAGGTGGCAGTGGGAAAGAGTGGCAACAGCTGGATGAGTTAAGAGGCTATTGAAATTATATAAGTGAGTGGATACAAGACACTGTATTAAGGTGAGGGTGAAAAAGAAAGATGTATGTGAGCATACTGTAGATGGGCAGGATGCAGAATCTGGAATCTAGATGACCAATGGGATAAATGGGTTAGAGTGATTTGGGATGACTCCAAAGTCAGTAACAGGAGTAGAGTAGTTCTTTTGAGGGAGAAAGATTAGTTCAAAAGTTGTTAAGGCCCTTTTTAACAGATTTTTATGGAGAAAAACAATTATTTTAACTTGAAGTCATCCATTTCTCATAAAGCTAGGTTATAGGCATTGAAATTAGTATTATGTATGTTTGGTTCTGTCTTTCCTCCACTTTGGTGCAGTAGACTTATTCATGAACACGTGTTACTGTGTATTTCAGTATTTCACTATTTATGTGAACATGTTATGTTTCTTTTTTTTTTTTTTTTTTTTTTTTTTTTTTAAGACAGAGTATTGCTCTGTTGCCCAGGCTGGAGTGCAGTGGCGCGATCTCGGCTCACTGCAAGCTCCGCCTCCCAGGTTCACGCCATTCTCCTGCCTAAGCCTCCCGAGTAGCTGGAACTGCAAGTGCCCACCACCACGCCCTGTCATTTTTTTGTATTTTTAGTAGAGACGTGGTTTCACTGTGTTAGCGAGGATGGTCTCGATCTCCTGACCTCGTGATTCGCCCGCCTCGGCCTCCCAAAGTGCTGGGATTACAGGCATGAGCCACCGCACCCAGCCAACATGCTATGTTTCTAACTCCAAATCATTAGGTAGCAGAATTATGAGGAGCCTTGTCAAGCCTGATCTGAAGCATGGGATGGTTCTATACCAGATTCATTTAACAAATGCACCTGTCATCTGAGTACTGGTTTTCCACATCTATTAGTATGGAATTAATTTACATAAAATCATCACTTTGAATTGCCTATGAAGAATTGATTTGTTCACTTTTTCTTCAAGACAAATAGTGCAGTGAAAAAGTAAAAGGTCTAACTGCCCAGGGTACAGTGGTTTAGGAGAGCGGGGACATGGACAGTCTAGTGCTGACCTTGACACCAAAAAACTGTGTTTCACTTATACTGTCTAGTTTTAAGTTTCCTCCTCTGCAAACTGAGATTTATTAAACAGTATTTCTTCAGCTTTAACTGACAGAAACGCAATTTCAGCTAGCTTATGTTAAATAAGAATTTATTAATACAGTAAGATGGCTCACGAATGCCAAGGGCAGGGGGCACCTTCAGAACTCTCTGGTCTCTGTCAGAGTTATCTTCCTATAGAACCACTTGAAGCATTTCATTTCCCACCTCAGAATCTCTGCAGCTGTCCCTTTTTCTCCAACATTTAAAAATCTAAACTCCTGGCCAGAACTTCCAACACTATGTTGAACAGGAGTGGTGAGAGAGGGCACCCCTGTCTTGTGCCAGTTTTCAAATGGAATGCTTGCAGTTTTTGCCCATTCAGTATGATATTGGCTGTGGGTCTGTCATAAATAGCTATTATTATTTTGAGATACGTCCCATCAATACCTAATTTATTGAGAGTTTTTAGCATGAAGAGCTGTTCAATTTTGTCAAAGGCCTTTTCTGCTTCTATTGAGATAATCATGAGGTTTTTGTCTTTGATTCTGTTTATATGCTGGATTACGTTTATTGATTTGCATATGTTGAACCAGCCTTGCATCCCAGGGATGAAGCCCACTTGATCATGGTGGATAAGCTTTTTGATGTGCTGCTGGATTCGGTTTGCCAGTACTTTATTGAGGATTTTTGCGTCGATGTTCATCAGGGATATTGGTCTAAAATTCTCTTTTTTGTTGTTGTGTCTCTGCCAGGCTTTGGTATCAGGAAGATACTGGCCT
The DNA here is from genome assembly GCF_000001405.40 of Homo sapiens. Taxonomy (NCBI): domain Eukaryota; kingdom Metazoa; phylum Chordata; class Mammalia; order Primates; family Hominidae; genus Homo; species Homo sapiens. Next base: position 104,873,029 of record NC_000006.12, read on the forward strand.
CATAAAATGAGTTAGGGAGGATTCTCTCTTTTTCTACTGACTGGAATAGTTTCAGAAGGAATGGTACCAGCTCCTCCTTGTACCTCTGGTAGAATTCGGCTGTGAATCCTTCTGGTCCTGGACTTTTTTTTGGTTGGCAGGCTATTAATTATTGCCTCAATTTCAGAGTCTGTTATTGGTCTATTCAGGGATTCAACTTCTTGCTGGTTTAGTCTTGGGAGGGTGTATGTGTCCAGGAAGTTCTGGCCAGGGCAATCAGGCAGGAGAAAGAAATAAAGGGTATTCAATTAGGAAAAGAGGAAGTCAAATTGTCCCTGTTTGCAGATGACATGATTGTATATTTAGAAAACCCCATCATCTTAGCCCAAAATCTCCTTAAGCTGATAAGCAACTTCAGCAAAGTCTCAGGATGCAAAATCAATGTGCAAAAATCACAAGCATTTTTATACAGCAATAACAGACAAACAGAGAGCCAAATCATGAGTGAACTCCCATTCACAATTGCTTCAAAGAGAATAAAATACCTAGGAATCTCCTTAAAGGACCTCTTCAAGAACTACAAACCACTGCTCAACGAAATAAAAGTGGACACAAACAAATGCAAGAACATTCCATGCTCATGGATAGGAAGAATCAATATTGTGAAAATGGCCATACTGCTCAAGGTAATTTATAGATTCAATGCCATCCCCATCAAGCTACCAATGACTTTCTTCACATAATTGGAAAAAATTACTTTAAAGTTCATATGGAACCAAAAAAGAGCCCACATTGCCAAGACAATCCTAAGCAAAAAGAACAAAGCTGGAGGCATCACGCTACCAGACTTCAAACTATACTACAAGGCTACAGTAACCAAAACAGCATGGTACTGGGACCAAAACAGAGATAGAGACGAATGGAACAGAACAGAGCCCTCAGAAATAATACCACACATCTACAACCCACTGATCTTTGACGAACCTGACAAAAACAAGAAATGGGGAAAGGATTCCCTATTTAATAAATGGTGCTGGGAAAACTGGCTAGCCATATGTAGAAAGCTGAAACTGGATCCCTTCCTTACACCTTATACAAAAATAAATTCAAGGTGGATTAAAGAGTTAAATGTTAGACCTAAAACCATGAAAACCCTAGAAGAAAACCTAGGCAATACCATTCAGGACATAGGCATGGGCAAGGACTTCATGTCTAAAACACCAAAAGCAATGGCAACAAAAGCCAAAATTGACAAATGGGATCTAATTAAACTACAGAGCTTTTGCACAGCAAAAGAAACTACCATCAGAGTGAACAGGCAACCTACAACATGGGAGAAAATTTTTGCAATCTACTCATCTGACAAAGGGCTAATATCCAGAATCTACAATGAACTCAAACAAATTTACAAGAAAAAAACAACCCCATCAAAAAGTGGGCGAAGGATATGAACGGATACTTCTCAAAAGAAGACATTTATGCAACCAACAGACACATGAAAAAATGCTCATCATCACTGGCCATCAGAGAAATGCAAATCAAAACCACAATGAGATACCATCTCACACCAGTTAGAATGGCAATCATTAAAAAGTCAGGAAACAACAGGTGCTGGAGAGGATGTGGAGAAATAGGAACACTTTTACACTGTTGGTGGGACTGTAAACTAGTTCAACCATTGTGGAAGATAGTGTGGTGATTCCTCAAGGATCTAAAACTAGAAATACCATTTGACCCAGCCATCCCATTACTGGGTATATACCCAAAAGATTATAAATCATGCTGCTATAAAGACACATGCACACGTATGTTTATTGCGGCACTATTCACAATAGCAAAGACTTGGAACCAACCCAAATGTCCATCAATGATAGACTGGATTAAGAAAATGTGGCACATATACACCATGGAATACACTATGCAGCCATAAAAAAGGATGAGTTCATGTACTTTGTAGGGACATGGATACAGCTGGAAACCATCATTCTCAGCAAACTATCCCAAGAACAAAAAACCAAGCACCGCATGTTCTCACTCATAGGTGGGAACTGAACAATGAGAACACTTGGACACAGGAAGGGGTACATCACACACCGGGGCCTGTCGTGGGGTGGAGGAAGCGGAGAGGGATAACATTAGGAGATACACCTAATGTAAATGATGAGTTAATGGGTGCAGCACACCAACATGGCACATGTATACATATGTAACAAACCTGCACGTTGTGCACATGTACCCTAGAACTTAAAGTATAATAATAAAAGAAGAAAAATAAATAAATAAATAAGTAAAATAAAAATCTAAACTCCTAAGAATGCTATTCAAAGTCTGGCACTCTCTGTTTTCAATAAACCTTTTCAGTCTTATAATAATTGCCAGTTAATTGAGCCCTTTTGGTTTCAGAGGAAAACAACCTGAGTTAGAATTCCTGGTTCTGCCCCTACTAACCTTGTACTTTGGAAAAACTTCCTTAACCCCGGGAAGCTTCCATTTTTGTCATTTGCAAAATGAGAATAATAACAGTATCTGTCTTATTTCCCTTATTTCATTTTGCATTTCATGGTGACAAAAACAGTCTCGCATTGTAGATCTTTTCTTTTTCTTTTTCTTTCTTTCTTTCTTTTTTTTTTTTTTTTTGAGACGGAGTCTTGCTCTGTTGCCCAGGCTGGAGTGCAGTAGCACGATCTCAGCTCACTGCAACCTCTGCCTCCTGGGTTCAAGTGATTCTTCTGCCTCAGCCTCCCAAGTGGCTGGAATTACAGGCACGCACCACGACGTCCAGCTAATTTTTGTATTTTTAGTAGAGACAGGGTTTCACCATGTTAGCCAGGATGGTCTCCATCTCTTGACCTCATGATCTGCCTGCCTCAGCCTCCCAAAGTGCTGGAATTACCGGCATGTGCAGATCTTTTCTTCATTACCCATTCTTGAACCAGAGTGCAAGATCAAACTATTTAAATAAGCTCCTCTCTTAGGAAACATATGCCTGAGAGATGCAGTTCCTCAAAAGCTGGGAGCCTAGACTTGTAAAATAATTTGGCTAATGCAGAGGATATGCACTTATTTATTCAATTCTAAAAGTCTGTGTCTAGAAAATAACATCCATATTTGGCACATTCTTCTTTTTTTTTTTTTTTTAAGACAGGGTCTCACTCTATCACCCAGGCTGGAGTGCAGTGGCAGTCGTAGCTCACTGTAACCTTGAAGTGCTGGGCTCAAGCGATCCTCCTGCCTCAGTCTCTCAAGCAACTAGGGTTACTGACATGGGCTGTCACACCCAGGTAGTTTTTTGTTGTTGTTGTTGTTGTTGATTTTGTAGAGACAAGGGTCTCAATGTGCTGTGAAGGCTGGTCTCAAAATCCTGGCCTCAAGTGATCCTCCCACCTTGGCCTCCCAAAGTGCTGGGATCACAGGCATAAGCCATTGCACCCAGTCTTGGCATATTTGGCACATCCTTGACACCTATCATGTTGAAATCATCTGCTAATTTTTTTGCTTCTTTTATTTATCCTTCCAGCCTTGCATTTATCCCCTGAATCCTTCATTTTTAGCTCCCAGGAAGTCTCAATTAAATGAATATCTTAGCACTTGTTGCTTTTAGGAAAAAATAAGCTGATGTAACAGAAGTTGCCATCTCCTCTGTCCTCTGCAACAGCCACCATAGAAGGCTGTGCTTCCCCACAACTGTCTTGATCCAAATTGGCCATTTCAGACAAGGTCAAGACTACCTGATCAGCCTCCCCACTCTGAGCCTTGGAGGTGGTAAATTTCAGGTGATCAAAAATGGAGAAATTTCCTTAATAGCTTTGTTTCAGCTAGATATATCTCACTATTCCAAAGTCCTTATTTAATCTCAGCTCTACCATAATTATTGACTTCTGTTCCTTAACCTGCTCCCTGCCTAATCCCACACTTCGAGTTTAACCCCGACATTTCAACATTTAGGGCACTTGTTCTTTAAAATTTCACCTATGACTTAATATGCCTACAGCATTTACAAAGGTGGGGGCTCAACTTCTTATGCAAATCCGTGTAGAAAGACAACAGAGATAGTTGGATCTCTTTTCTCTACAACTACCTGTAACATGTCTACCTGGGAATGCAATTACACAGATTTATAAGTAGAATTTAGCAAAGCTTTGATACTTCATGGCACTTTCCTGGTTGAGCACTAAAGATAAGTGATTTTTCTCTCATCTTCCTAAATAATCTATACAGAATCTTTAGTTTCTCTCTCCCTGAATTTCAACACAATAGATCCACTTATACTTCCTGAGTCATTGTGGGGAGAGTTTAGGTAAGGATGGGGATAGGAGGGCGGATGAATGGAGAAGCGGATGCTCTAGATCAAATGCCTGTGCAACAGCAGGAGTAATAATCAGCTGCACTCCTGTGCTCATATCTAGTGCTGCTTGGAAGAGCTTTCTGTCAGAGGATTCTATGATTCTGACCACCCTGTTTCTGGAAGGAAATGTGCCCAGGAGCATTGAGGGTGGGAAGGGGTCTGATTCACACTCAGGGACCACAAGGCCATGTACTGCATACCCTGATACTCAGAGAAGTGCTACTAGGCTAGCACATGGGCTTAGGGCAACTGCATAGTTATTCTATTCCTGAACAGCTTTTTATAATCATATTGATTTTAACTTTAAATATTTTTGGAAGATATAATCGGACTGCGAGACTAAAAGAAACGGGATTTCATCCTGTTGACGCCTCTTTATTACTCCAAATCTTTATTTCATCATGTAGTCAATGAATGAAACAGGTGCAAAGCCTGTGTTTCAGGCTGAAAGAGATTCTGATACATATAAGGTACTGTCCTTGTCCACAAGAAAATAACAAATCAGAGCTGGTGGTGCAGATGGGAAAGAAGCAAAGATACCACAAAAACAATTAAGACGTGTACATTTTTATTCACTGAACACATATTTATTGTGCATTTCATTCCAGATACTGTTCTAGTTATTGAGAATATAGTATTAAATAAGACAGATGACTGGGCATGGTGGCTTATGCCTATAATCCCAGCACTTTGAGAAGCTGAGGCTTGCAAGTCGCTTGAGCCCAGGAGTTTGAGACCAGCCTGGGCAACATGGCAAAAACCCATCTCTACAAAAAAATAATAAAAAATTAGCCAGGCATTGTGGCACCTTTTGTACCAGCTACTCGGGAGGCTGAGGCAAAAGAGTCACTTGAGCCTAAGAGGTCAAAGCTGCAGTGAGCCATGATAGTGCCACTGCACTCCAGCCTAGGTGACAGGGTGAGACCTTGTTTCCAAAAAAAAAAAAAAAAAAAGACAATATCCCTTTCCTCCTGGGTTTACATTCTAGTATAGAAAACAGAAAAAGAAAAATAAATACTATAATTTTAGCTACTCAAATGTACTGTAACTAGTTAAATAGTGATGTATAATATGCTTCCATGTGTGATAAAAACAATGAGGAATCTATTTCTTTATATGACATGGAAGTCTTCACTGATCCAAAATAATTTCCAAGACAGATTAAGTGAGAAAAAAATCAAGGTGCAGAAGAGAATTTAGAATATGTTAACATTATAAGAAAATAAGGGCCAGGCACAGTGGCTCACACCTGTAATCCTAACACTGGGAGGCTGAGGCAGGTGGATCACGAGGTCAGGAGTTTGAGACCAGCCTAGGCAACACAGTGAAACCCTGTCTCTACTAAAATACAAAAAATTAGCCAGGCATGGTGGCATGCACCTATAATCCCAGGTACTTGGGAGGCTGACGCAGGGGAATCACTTGAACCTGGGAGGTGGAGGCTGCAGTGAGCTGAGATTGCACCACTGCACTCCAGCCTGGGCAACAGAGCAAGACTCTGTCTCCAAAAAAAAAAAGAAAGAAAAAAGAAAATAAGGATAAGACTACATATTTGCTTGTATATGCTATATGCTTGCACAACTGCTGACTGACATTAATTGTCTCTAGGTTGAAAGATGACTTGCTTGAGAGACAGAAACACTGTGTGCACTCTTTTAGCTTCTGAATTGTGAACTTATATAAATTTATTGCCAGGGTTGGGTGCAGTGGCTCACACCTGTAATCCCAGCACTTTGGGAGGCCGAGGCAGGTGGATCACCTGAGGACAGGAGTTCAGGACCAGCCTGGTCAACATGGTGAAACCCCGTCTCTACTAAAAATACAAAAATTAGCCGGGTGTGGTGGCCTATAATTCCAGCTACTTGGGAGGCTGAGGCAAGAGAATTGCTTGAACCCAGGAGGCGGAGGTTGCAGTGAGCTGAGATCACACCATTGCCCTCCAGCCTGGACAACTAGAGCAAAACTTCATCTCAAAAAAAAAATAATTAATTTTTAAAAAGTATTGCCTAATGACTTTTAAAATAAAAAGACAGGGTGAGAGGTGAAGTGGTGGCAGACAGAATAAATAATTCTTTTTGTTGTTGTTGTTTCTGAGATGGAGTCTTGCTCTGTCACCAGGCTGGAATGCAGTGGCGCAGTCTCGGCTTACTGCAACCTCTGCCTCCTGGATTCAAGTGATTCTCCTGCCTCAGCCTCCCAAGTAGCTGGAACTACAGGCATGCACCACCACACTTGGCTAATTTTTTGTATTTTAGTAGAGACAAGGTTTCCCCATGTTGGCCAAGATGGTCTCGATCTCTTGACCTGTGATCTGCCTGCCTTGGCCTCCCGAAGTGCTGGGATTATAGGCGTGAGCCACCGCGCCCGGCCCAGAATAGATACTTCTTTCACAATTTGTTTTATTTTATTTTACTTGAGACAGGGTCTCCTCTGTCGCCCAGACTGGAGTGCAGTGTCACAATCTCGGCTCACAGCAACCTCAACCTCCCCATGTTCAGGTGGTCCTACGTGTGCCTCCCAGGTACCTGAGACTACAGGGAGGCACCACCATGCCTGGGTAATTTTTGTATTTTTTGTAGACACAGGGTTTCACCATGTTGCAGGCTGGTCTCGAACTCCTGGGCCCAAGCCCAAACAATCTGCCCTCTGTGGCCTCCCAAAGTGCTGGATTACAGGCATGAGCAACCATGCCCAACCCAATTCGTTTTATTTTAAAAGGGACTAGAGAAATGGGGATAGCAGTTAGGCTCAATGGCGGGAGGAGGCAGCAGCAGGTAGTTTTTTTTAAGTTGGACAATATTATAACATGTTTGTATACTGATAGAAATAATAAATTTAGAGGGAAAAAATGGATAATACCAGAGAGAGGACAGTTACCCTTTGTGAACAGGGAAGTGAGGATGGAGCCCAGTGCTTAAGAGAGGCCTCAGTGAGGAACATGAACAGATACCATATGTAACAGGAGGGAGGGGGTGCAAGATTGATTCATCAGTATAGGAGCAGACAGTTAGTAGATGTGATGTTGGGAACAGGCAGCCATTTTCTTCTTATTACTTCTATTATGTCATTGAATAAATAGCAAGCTGAAAGTGGAGCACAGTAAACAGCAGTTAGTAGATTTGATAGTGGGAACATGCAGATATTCTCTTATTACTTCTATTATATCATTAAATAAATAGCAAGCTGAAATTGGAGTGTAGTAAACAGATGTTGGGGCTAGTAGAAAGAGAAGACAGTATGGAGATAGTTGCTTAGGAGAATAAGAGCAGGAATCAACTAAGGAAGTGTACTAGTTCTGTTAGGACATACATTTAATGTGAGATCAGTCAGCATAGGGTTGTATTTTTATCAAATTCAGCTGCTTGGGTGTAATTTCAGAGCAGGTGGAAAGTTGTATTTAATCAAGCCTCAGGTATTGCCAGTGAGAATGATGAGGGAGGAGAGGGGCAAAGAAGTTCAAAATAGGTGCAAGGGAGTATCTATAGTGATGAACCAAGGAGTGAAAACCGAGTAAGGAGCTTGGCTGTCTAGCTCCCACCAAACCTACATTCCTACAGGAAATGGTGGAAAATATATATAAAAAGAGCTACCTAAAGGCACTAGAAAGGGAATAAACCAGGCAGAAATGGAAAGAGAGTCAACATTTGGAAGAAGAGATCAAAAAGTGAGTTTCCTGCCCTTGAAGGAACTGAAGCAGATTCCAATTGGCATGAGAGCTAAAACTAAAGGAGAAAATCACTGCCTTACCAGCTTGAAGAACCAGAAAACAGATTACAGGCAAGCTCAGCTGTTAGAAAGTGAGTAGGGATATTCTGGAAAGGATGAGCCAATGCAGGAGAGCCCCAATTTGTATTTAAGTTCTGCTCATATCTCTGGCTGGTCCATGAGCCATATACAAGGGTCAGAAGCCAAGCAAGGCTAAGGTTAAAGGAGCTGAACTGAACTGGTTACTTGTGATGCTCCACAACCTTTGGAAGCATGAGGCTCCTTCTGAAGTTGTTTGGTTGCTGTATGTGTGGACTGTCTTCAGTGAAAAGCATACTCGGTGAGAAACAGGCCTTGGTGCAATTTTTAGTAGTCATATTGACCCAAATGGAATCACAAAATTCACGTGTCAGCCAGGCACAGTGGCTCACATCTGTAATCCCAGCACTTTGGGAGGCCGAGGCAGGCATATCATGAGGTCAGGAGTTCGAAACCAGCTGGCCAACATCATGAAACCCCGTCTCTACTAAAAATACAAAAATTAGCCGGGCATGGTGGCGCACACCTGTAGTCCCAGCTACTCGGAAGGCTGAGGCAGGAGAATCGCTTGAACCCAGGAGGCAGAGGTTGCAGTGAGCCAAGATTGCAGCACTGCACTCCAGCTTGGGTGACAGAGCAAGACTGTGTCTCAAAAAAAACAAAACAACAACAAAAAAATACACGTGTCTGCTGGTTAACTTGGGTATTCCTTTTTGTTAATGGTGTAATCCTCTTCCTCTTTTTCTCCACCATCTCCCCCATATTTATACATACAACATCGAATGTAAGTATTGTGGCTCGTGGACCACAAAAAAGCAGCCAACATATGTTAAATGTGTTCACTGTCCCCAGTACAAAGAGCCCTGAGACTACTGACTAGGAAACAAAATAAGATTAAGGTCAAAGATATTTTAACTTTGCATTCTTCAAGGCATCCTCTCAGTTCTCATATACCTGAGTTTACAGTTTGCCTTACCAGCCCAGGCTATAAGAGCACATATGTGTGCTGAGTAAGAGAGAGAATCCCATCAGCAGCCAGCCTGGGTGATGAGCACAGATCCCAGAAAACAGACTCATTCTCTTCTCTTATCAGACTTTAAATGGCAGATAAATTTCTTTTCTCTCCTGCACGCAGAGAGGATGTCTCCCAGCACAGACAAGAGAATGATGACGTTGGAGGAACTCAAATCACACCCCTGACATTTAATTAGAACAGAGGTATCAAAAAAGTTTGTGAACAAGTGTTTTTTTTTTTTTTCATTTTTCTGAAGCTTTCAGCTGGGGTTCACTCTATGCTCCCAAATGGTGCTGAGAGCTACTATTATCCTGTCAATCTCTTCTTGCTCTGCCCCAGATGTTCACACAGCTTACTTTCTCACTTCCCTCAGGCTTCTGCTCAAATATCTCCTTATCAGAGAGATCTTTCTTTCTCTCTTTTTAAAAATTTGTGGCAAAATTTATATAACATAAAATCGACCACCTTAACCATTTTAAGTGTGCAGACAAGTGGTATTAAGCACATACACATTGTTGTACAACCATCACCACCATTCACCTCCAGAGCTTCTTTCATCCTGCAAAATAGAAATTTACCTATTACATACTAACTCCTTCATTTCCCCCTACCTGTAGCCCCTGGCAACTTCCATTCTACTTTTTTTCTTTTTTTTTAAGACGGAGTCTCGCTCTGTTGCCCAGGCTGGAGTGCAGTGGCGCAATCTCAGCTCACTGCAAGCTCTGTCTCCCAGGTTCATGCCATTCTCCTGCCTCAGCCTCCTGAGTATCTGGGACTACAGGTGCCCGCCACCACACCCAGCTAATTTTCTGTGTTTTTAGTAGAGATGGGGTTTCACCATGTTAGCCAGGATGGTCTCGATCTCCTGACCTCGTGATCCACCCACCTCGGCCTCCCAAAATGCTGGGATTACAGGCGTGAGCCACCGTACCTGGCCTTTTTTTTTTTTTTTTTTTTTTTGAGATGGAGACTCCCTCTGTTGCCCAGGCTGGAGTGCAGTGGCACAATCTCGGTTCACTGCAACCTCCCTCTCCTGGGTTCAAGTGATTCTCCTCCCTCAGCCTCCCGAGCTGGGATTACAGGCGCCCACGACCACGCCTGGCTATGTTTTCTTCATATTTTTAGTAGACAGGGTTTCACCATGTTGGCCAGGCTAACCTTGAACTCCTGACCTCAAGTGATCCTCCTGCCTCAGCCTTCCAAAGTGCTGGGATTACAGGCATGAGCTACCATGCCTGGCCTACTTTCTGTCTCAATGATAGACAGATGTTTCTGGACCACTATCCTATATAAATTAATACTACTCTTTCTTCCATCTGACTACTCCTGTCATTTTCTGGACCTTTCATCCTGTTTTATTTTTTCCAATTATATTTATCTCTACTCGACACGTATAGTTGTATATCTGTCACCTCCCACTGAAATGTATGATCTTTGAGAGCAGGACATTTGTTTATTTTTGTTCACTGCTATGTCTTCAAAATGTAACATAGTACCTGGCAAGTGCAGGAACACAAGTATTTGTTGGTATGAATGAGGTTCAAGAGGAAAAGTCTTCATAGTCTGATTTCCTGGTTATTGGATTAGAACCTATCCTTAAGGATGTGTATTCCCCAGCTGTTGAACTCTCAGTTCTTTGCTCCCATTTCTCCCCAACTATCAGTCCTCAACCAGTACAACTTTTTTCTTAGCACAACTTTGATCCTATTTCTTCTAGTTTATTACCACTCCAAATTCTTACTCAGTTTTAGTCTATTTTGTGTTGCTATAACAGAATATTACAGACTGGGTGATTTACAAAGAAAAGAAATGTATTTCTCACAGTTCTGAAGGCTGGAAAGTCCAACATCAAGATACCAGCTTCTGGTATCATTCTTACTGTGTCATCCCATGGAATTCTCTATTTAATTAGCCATAAATTACTTTTCAAGCTTGTTAGAGCCAAGCTTCAGTGATATTTGCTGTGCCCTCATTATGCAAAAACAAAAATATTTTCTCTGCAGCTCCATATCATTTACTCTCCAAGTTTTCTAGTATCTGTTAAAAACATCATTGCATGCAATGGAAACTTACTCTGACTGACTTAAGCTGAAGAAGAGTTACAAGGAAGCCTAGACAGCCAGGCAGGAGAACCAGGTATGTCCCAGGAAACTTGGACAGCAGCTAGGGTTACAATGAGGATTACTCCACAGCAAGTAGCTGATGGAACTGATGATGAATGCCAGCTACCAGAGCCACAAGGCAGCTATCAACTATTACCTGCTGGCAGCAACCCTGGGTGCTATAGCAGAACTTCTACTACTGCTACTGCCACCACAAGAAGGGATTGGAGAACTCATCCTTTATATCATTGGTTTTCAGTGTAAACTCTGGGACTAGAGCGTCTGATTGGTTGGGCCTAGGACACATGCTTGTGCCCTACCTGCATAGGAGGCCAGGAAAGTGAGACTTTCTTTTTAGTTTCTACAGTGGGAAATGAACTCTGACTATAGCTAAGACTTATATATACTATGGAGAGCAAGCAAAAAAAAAAAAAAAAAAAGGATTTCAGATGCCAGGTAGCCACAAAAATAACAAATGTTCACTTTATTATTTTTGCTACTCTATCTGTATTCCTTACCTCAGTCTTTATCTACATCCATCCAAATGTATAAGCCAGAAATCATGGCATCATCATTGAATTGTTCACCCCTACATACAATAAGTCTCACAGTTCTCTTGCTTCCATTGGCCCCCCTAAGCATTTATTTTATCTATTTTTTTTATCTCTGTCCCCATTACTATGACCACAATTGGGCCTTTATCAATTTCTCCTTGGATAATTGCTATTGTATCCTACTTTGTTCCCCTGAGCCAGGCCTCATGCCCTACAATCATTCTTCCACACTGCTCTCACATAGATGCCTTTCTAATATTTGATCATATTGTTCTCCTACTTTGTGAGTAATGCTCTTCATCACATTAAGAACAGAATTCAGATGACTGGAATGGCACAAAACATGATTTTGATCCACTCTTCTTTCAGCTTCATCTTCTTCCAATATTCTACTATATGAACCCGTCATTCTCATAGTGAAAAAAATACTTGTTCTCTAAATTTATAATCCTCTCTCACACATCATATCTGTGTAAGTGCTGTTATTGCCTCTCCCTGGAATGTCCCTGCACTCTCATATATGTGCACAACTCCTACTCTTTCTTCATGACTCAACTCATGCTACCCCCGGAGGAGTTAGGGGGCGTAGCCTCTTCTGATGGCAGCAGCGGCCCATTTGGAGTGGCTGCTGCAAAGACGCCGGCTACAGCGGGGAAGGCGTGCCCGGGGCTGCACACTTTATGGAGCTGCACGCTTTATGGAGCTGCATGCTTTATGGAGCCGGCAGGAGCCCGGAACAGATGGGAGACCCTACCCCTTCCGAGTTGGTGGGGCAGGAGCCCCATGCTCCTGGGCACTGCTGCAACCAGCCAGCTGCAGCTGCGGACCCAAGTATCCCTGCTGCCCCCGCAGGTTCCGCAGTGCCTGCTTCCGGCTGCCTGGCCTCTCCCCACTCCCGGTGCCTGCTCCGATTTTGGAGCAAGGTTATGGCTGAGCCCGGGTGCTGTCACGACCCGGCTGGGTGAGCTGCACTCCGAGTGGCACTGACACACCAGCCCCCTGCTGCCTCGGAGCCCTTCAAACTTTGGGCACCGACAAGCACAAGAGGGAGGCCAAGGTGGGGCTGAGGGCAGCTCAGCACAGGCCTGCAGGTGCCCGTCAGCACAAGCAGCCTGGGCACCATGAACGGCAGCAGGAGGCAGGTGCGAGTCCCGGTGAAACCCCACCTTCAAGCCAGGGATGGCCTGAGGCCTGGGGGCCAGGCTGTTAGTTCTGCAGACCAGAGTGGGAACTTACGATGCTTTTACCAGGCCTGCCCATGGACGCCCAAGGACCAATCAGCAAGCACTTCCTCCCGTCTGAAGACCATAAAAACCCCCGGACTCAGCCAGACTCAGGCAGACGATGTCTTTTTAGTTTCTACAGTGGGAAATGAACTCTGACTATAGCTAAGACTTATATATACTATGGAGAGCAAGCAAAAAAAAAAGAAAAAAGAAAAGGGATTTCAGATGCCGGGTAGCCACAAAAATAACAAATGTTCACTTTGTTATTTTTGCTACTCTAACTGTATTCCTTATCTCAGTCTTTATCTACATCCATCCAAATGTATAAGCCAGAAATCATGGCATCATCATTGAATTGTTCACCCCTACATACAATAAGTCTCACAGTTCTCTTGCTTCCATTGGCCCCCCTAAGCATTTATTTTATCTATAAAATAAATAGGCAGCCTCTCCTATATATTTTTATCTATAAAATATCTAGGCAGCCTCTCCTCAGGCTCCTCTCCTGCCTGAGGAGAGGAGCTACCCACTCTAGGTCTCCTCTCCTCTGAGAGCTGTGCACTCGTTGGGACAACCTGCCAGCAGGTAGGAGCTACTCACCTCAGGTCTCCTCTCCACTGAGGCTCTTATTGGTGGAAGCCAACTCAGCTCCACAGGAAAAATTGTCCAGGTTTTATAAAATTGATACACACAGGCTGGGCGCAGTGGCTCATGCCTGTAATCCCAGCACTTTGGGAGGCCGAGGCGGGTGGATCACCTGAGGTCAGGAGTTTGAGACCACCCTGGCCAACATGATGAAACCCTGTCTCTACTTAAAATGCAAAAAAATTAGCTGGATGTGGTGGCGGCTGCCTGTAATCCCAGCTACTCGGGAGGCCGAGGCAGGAGAATCGCTTAACCTGGGAGGTGGAGGTTGCAGTAAGCTGAGACCATGCCATTGCATTCCAGCCTGGGCCACAAGAGTGAAACTCTGTCTCAAAAAAAAGAAAAAAAGAAAGAAAGAAAGAAAAGAGAGAGAAAAGAAGAAAATTCCCCTTCCATTAATGACATGGTTATTTATCAGGGTTTTTCAATCATCTGTGGCAAACTTATTTAAAATCAAAGTCTCCTAAGATTTTCTCTGTCTCTGTAACAACTCAAAAATATAAAATTCCTAGGCAAATAATTACAATGATAATCATATATATAAAGCTGTCAGGGTGCATTGACAGATAGTTAAATAGTTGGATAAAATAGATAGGATCAGAAAATAAAACTTGGAAAAAAGACTTAAAAGTTGTGTCCACACTTAAAATTCTTCTTTGCATTCTAAGCATCTTTTGGCCAAATGAAAATAACTCAAGTGGCAGATGCAGGCCCAGTTCACTATTTCAATGTCTTCACATAGGATCTTCCTGAAGTGCTTTACAACTTAAAATAGTGCTCTTGTTCAATGTGTGGCACAGCAGAACTCAGAGGCCAGGAACATGAACCAGCCTGGAAAACAAGATGATTGGAGTGTAGGCAGATCAGAAAAGCCAACACCACTGCAGTGTTTCAGCAAATTCAGGACCATGGACAGTAATGCACGTGCCCTCACCTCTCTTATCACTCCACTGTGCATAATTTGCTCATACAGTCCGTTACGGTGTATCAGGAGTGTCTGTGAAACCCATCCAATAGACCCATTAAAATTTTTTTCTTTTGTTTTTCTTTTTTTTTTTTCTGAGACGGCGTCTCGCTCTGTTGCCAAGCCAGAGTGCAGTGGCGCAATCTCAGCTCACTGCAACCTGTCTCTCCCGGGTTCAAGTGATTCTCCTGCCTCAGCCTCCCGAGTAGCTGGGGCTACAGGCACATGTCACCACACCCAGCTAATTTTTGTATTTTTAGTAGAGACGGGGTTTCACCATGTTGGCAAGGATGATCTCGATCTCTGGACCTGGTGATCCGCCGGCCTTGGCCTCCCAAAGTGCTAGAATTACAGGCATGCACCACCATGCCAGCCTGAAAATTGTTTTAAAGAAACATAGAAATCGACCTTTACATTTGTTTATCTGAGTTGCTTCCTCAGAAAGGACCCCCAGACCTCTCAGAAAGTACTGGAGAACTGAAACCAACCAGATCACAGCAACTAAACAATGAGATGCCAGACTGCTCATTTTGTTTCCTTACCCGTCCCTAGTTCCTGTTTTCTAACACATTATTACATTTCTTCCCTGCTACATAAACCCCTAATTTTAGTTGGTCAGGGAGATGGATTTGAGACTGATCTCCCATATCCCTGGCTGCAGCACCCGATTAAAGCCTTCTTCCCTGGCAATACTTATTGTCTCAGTCATTGGTTCTCTGTGTGATGAGCAGCAGGACCCAGACAGAACCCCTAGAGTTTTGGTAACAGCTTGAGCAAGACGCAGGCAAGGTTCAGAGGCCAACTGTAGAGGCCAATGTTGCAACCACAAAACTCAGGCAGAGGCATGATAAAGCTCATAAAATCCAAAAATTGGTATCCAGGGTCACACTCAAGGAAAAGAAAAATCAAATCTGAGAACAAAAGGAAGGACTGGGGTAGAAGCTAATGCTGAATAAAACAGAAAAAGGAATGCATTCAGACTTAAGGACTAGAAACAGCACTTTCACGTGCAGAAACAGGCAAGCAGGTCCACACAACAGTGCAACCAGAGTAAGGTCTTCCTGCCCTTTGATCTGAATTTAATTCCATTTAAATTGATTGAAATCCACAAGCACTCAATGCATGTCAATAATAGAGAGATCATGATGTTAAGCAGTAAGCTCAGTGTGGACAGATAAGAGCTAACAGATTTGCAGTGCTCACAGGCATAGCAGGATTGAATAGATGCTATTGATTATACCTGTGGCCTATGTCCTCTGGAGCCCTCACGATACTGACATTTGGAAGCAGATATCTTAATTCACTACCAATTCTTCTGCACTAACCCAGAGATGATAAAGAAAACTGAATGAGAATAGGAGTGAGGTGGTTTGGAAAGGGAAAATTGATGAGTACTGACATGATTATTCTCACCCTCATCTTAGTTCTTTCCCTTTAACATTTTAAAAAATCTCTCAAGACCAAAAAATGGCTTTATATGAACCTGGTTTAGGGAGAAAACTACAAATATGTTTGTGTGTATGTATATGTGCATATATGTTGAGAGAAACCTTTGTCTTGATTTTATCCAAAATGGATAAAGGGGTGCCAACACAGTTGGGAGAAAGAACAAGTAAGCATGGTGTATACAGAAAAGTTTTTTCTATTCAAGAATAAAATTACTTAGGACAAGAAGAGAATCTTTGCACCTTCCTTCTAAATATTTCACATAAAGGACAGTCTCCTTAGTAGAAACAAACCAAGAGTACTGTAGATAAGATTCTTAACATCAGAGAATCCTTTCTCAGAGATTAACAATGCTGCCAATCTAGTGGGAAGAAATGGTAAACAGAAGTACAAGAGTCTGGCAAATAAGCAAGAAGAAGTAGCCGAGGACCATATACCCACTTCATTTTGCTGCATAACTGGCACAATTATCATGGATGCAAATAACTTCTGGCACTAGCATATGTCTCTCCATCTACCTCTATGGATGGAATTGGTATGACATAACTATGTGGATGTCCTCAAACTTCTTTGATGCTCCATGTGTTCCTCAAATTTGTGTTTTGTTGGTTATAGAATATCTTCTTAGATAAGAGTATCATTTGCTGGTTAGTGATATACAGAAATATACTTCTTCTAAAATCATATTCAGGTCTTGCCTAAAATCTAGGGTTAATAAGAGCCAAGCCTAGACCATTTTTCTTCTGCGGATGCTCTGATTAGGGGCTTTGAGTCAACTCCTAGAATAGGGATCAGCAAACTTTTCCTGTAAAGGGCCAGATACTAAATAGGCTTTGTGAGCTACATATTCTTCTCTGTCACATGTTTTCCTTTTAAAAATTCTTTTAAACAACTATTTTAAAATGTAAAAAAGTATTCTCAGTTTATGGTCTGTCTAAAAACAGACCACAAACCCGATTTGGTACACAGGGCATAGTTTGCCAACCCTTGCAAGGAAAAAGAGTAGGGGAAGATTAAAGTAGCTTGGCTCAAAGGAAGTATTGGGGTGAGGATACATCACTGAATTCAGGGAAATAGAAATAACCTTCTAAATAAGATATGATACTCCTTTTCTCGAAGGAATGGTATGGCCACACCATCTATATGTTGTTTCTTTGACAACTAAAATTATTTTGTTCCTTAGAAAAGTAAATGATTTGTCCTTTCCATAAGGGCAATGACGTTTGTAGGAGTAAACTAATAGACTGCTGACAAAGTCAAGTGGAGTATTCACCATCCTTCTTGATGTTATTCCCTGACATCAGAGCTATGTAAGCAACAATCCAAGAGAAGAAAACTTTCCTTCTATATTATGCTGTAAAATACACATGTATGTGTTTTTATATATGTGAAATATGTAAAATATATGTTTATGTATGTTAATGATATATAAAATATGTATAAATAATCAATATATAAACACATATATTTCCTCTAGATTATAGTTCCTACAACTGCAAGCCTGTGTCACTGTGCCTGGCTTTTTTTTTTTTTTTTTTTTTTTTGTAGAGACAGGGTTTCACCATGTTGCCCAAGCTGGTCTCAAACTCCTGAGCTCAAGTTATCCACACACCTCGGCCCCTCAAAGTGCTGGGATTACAGGCGCCTGAGCCACCATGCCTGGCCTCATATATAATTTCAAAAGATATATAAGGGTGCTAATATAGTATAATGGATAAGTGGGAACAGCCATCTGGGTACAACCCCATAAGGTACTGGACATACCCGGTGATGTAGCCAAAAGGTCACTTATAGAGCAGTACTCATGTCTGGAGTGAAAGGGGCTCGCATTTGTGTGATCACCATCACCAAGGTATTCCTTACCCGTTGCCATGTAATCAATCAGCTACTCCTTTTGGGGAAGGAAGTTTTTTTTATGAATGTATATATTTGGATTAATTAAACTTATTGTCAAGGAAGTAACACTGCCTGCTATGAATGGATCCCATATGTGCTAATTACCTTACAGAACACAGAAGCTATAGAGAGATTAGGGTAATGACTTGGATGGATGAACAAAT
Source organism: Homo sapiens (assembly GCF_000001405.40). Taxonomy (NCBI): domain Eukaryota; kingdom Metazoa; phylum Chordata; class Mammalia; order Primates; family Hominidae; genus Homo; species Homo sapiens. The sequence goes on from NC_000006.12 coordinate 104,891,109, forward strand.
AGGTCAGCTAGAGATGAGTGAGCTGATTTGTCTAATATTAGAAGTGAGCCCTATAAAACCCCTGACTGGACTAAATTATTCAGTTGCTTCTGCAGCTTTAGAAATTCAAGTATGTTTTAAATCTTCAGCATTTAAAATTTTCATCTCTTTGCCAGTCTTCTGTCTCTAGAGAACTACAAGAGATGCAAAAACATACTCTTTCACAAAACTACATTTCTAGAGGTTTATGATTTGTCAAAAGATTCTCTATCACCCTGTAAGGCTTTCATAATTTCCCTAATAATATCTGTTGTAAAAAGGCTCCAAAAATGAAAATCTCCATCAACTGCATGGACTGCAGTCATGAATAAATGCCAAAAGTAACATAAATATGTTCTTCCAGCTGGGCTCAGTGCTCTCTCGCCTGTAAACCCAGCACTTTGGGAGGCTAAGGTAGGAGGATCGCTTGAGCCGTGGAGGTCTAGACTGCAGTGAGCTGATATTGTGTCACTGCACTCCAGCCTAGGCAACAGAATGAGACCCTGTCTTGAAAAAAAAAAAAAGATGTTCTTCCATAACATTTATCAAGAGATTGGATTTTGTGATTTGAATGGATAATACAAGATCATAAGTTAAGCAGTCAAGATAGAGGGTTTGTTGATCTAGGAATCAAAGGACACAGACTCAGTTCATTTTTGCCCTAAGGGGCTGTGTGAAGACATTTAACCCCTCAGCACCTCATTTTTCTCCTTTTATAAAATTGATTTCAGATGCTAGTATCTGTATCTTAGTTAACACTAAAGTTATCTAAAACAAGGAAGAGGGTTCTTTATGTTGCATTCTCTCTCTCTCTCTCTTTCTGTCTCTCTTTCTCTCTTTCTCCCTCTCTCTCTTTCTTTCTTTCTTTCTTCTCTTGTTCCCCAGGCTGGAATGCAATGGCACCATCTCAGCTCACTGCAACCTCCACCTCCCAGGTTCAAGCAATTCTCCTGTCTCAGCCTCTGGAGTAGAGGGATTACAGGCATGCACCACCACGCCCAGCTAATTTTTTGTCTTTTTAGTAGAGATGGGGTTTCACCATGTTGGTCAGGCTGGTCTTGAACTCCTGACCCCATATGCTCTGCCCACCTCTGCCTCCCAAAGTGCTGGGATTACAGGCTTGAGCCACCACAACTGGTCTTCTCCCTGCCTTTCAAATGTACCCATCTCAATATTTATCTGAGACCCACAAAAATAAAAATACTAGATTCAGTTCCATTATCAGAAAGAACATGAACTAAACACATTGGTATACTATTTAACTTAATAGTTTCATGGAATTTAAAATTTACATATAATTAATTATATATTTTATCATTGGTCAAGCAAATAAGATATACACCCATCTACATCCATGGATATAATTTGATAATTTGTTTACCTAGCCAACTATTGATATTTGGGCTGTTTCAATCCCAAAATTCAATGATGTTCTTTCCATTAAAAAAAAAAAATCCACGCTGGGTGCAGTGGCTCACACCCTATAATCTCAGCACTTTGGGAGGCTGAGCTGGGAGGATCACTTAAGGCCAGGAGTTTGAAAGTAGCCTGGGCAACATAGCCAGACCCCCGTCTCTACAAAAATTTTAAAAATTATCCTGATGTGGTGGTGTGCACCTGCAATCCCAGCTATCTGGGAGGCTGAGGCAGGAGGATCACTTGAGTCCAGGAGTTCGAAGCTGTAATGAGCTGTGCTCACACTGCTGTGCTCCAACCTGTGTGACAGAGTGAGAACCTGTCTCAAAAAAAAAAAAAAAATTCTTTTACTCTTTGGGTTTCATTGTGGATAGTTTCTATTGCTACGTTGTCAAGTTCATCAGTCTTTTCTTCTTCAGTGTCTAATCAATTATTAATCCAATCTAGTGTATTTTTTCACCTCAGACACTATAGTTCTCATCTCTAGAAATTCTATTTGGGTGTTTTTATACCTTCTATGTTGGTGCTTAAAATGGGATATAGTTAAAATAACTGTTTTTTGTTTGTTGGCTTGTTTGTTTGTTTTTGAGACAGAGATTTGTTCTTGTTGCCCAGGCTGGAGTACAATGGCACAATCTCGGCTCACCGCAACCTCTGCCTTATGGGTTCAAGCACTTCTCCTGCCTCGAGCTCCTGAGTAGCTGGGATTACAGGCATGCGCCACCGTACCTGGCTAAGTTTGTATTTTTAGTAGATACTGGGTTTCTCCATGTTGGTCAGGCTGGTCTCTAACTCCCAACCTCAGGTGATCTGCCTGCCTCGGCCTCCCAAACTGCTAGGATTACAGGCGTGAGCCACCACGCCCAGCCTAAAATAACTGTTTTACTATCTTTTTCTGCTAGTTGTAACCTCTATATGTGTTTTGAGTTAGTTTTAATTGATTGATTTTTCTTATCTTATCTGTCTGCTTTATATTCCTCATAGTCTTAGCCTGAATACTATATATTTTACCTTGTTGAGTGTTGCATTTTTTTTTCATTCCTATAAACTTTCTTGAGCTTTTTCTGAGATGTAGTTTACTTGAAAACAGTTTGTTCTTTTTGGGTCTCCATTTTAAGTTTTTTTTTAAGATGGGGCCAAAGCAGCATTTAGTTTAGGGTTAATTATTCTCCACTACTGAGGCAAGACCCTTCTGAATATTCTACCCGAATTATGAATTTTTCCTGTCTGGCTGGTGATAACTGGCACTATTTCAGTCCCTGTGTGAGTATAGAATACTATTCCCTCTAATCCTTTCAGATAGTTATTTCGCCAGCCTCAGGTAATTTCTTTATATGCATGTGCTGATCAGTGTCCTGCTAATTACTCCAGAGAAGCTTTTTGCAGAACTCTGAGGTTCTCTCTCAGCGCAAATCTTTCCTCTGTGCTGCTTTGTCCTGAGAACTCTGTGTTGGTCTTCGTGGGCTCTCAGCTCTATCTCCTCAATTCTCAGAGTTCTGGACTCTGCCTGGGTTCTCCCTCTTTGCTCCATGGCCTGAAACCTTTCTCAAGGCATTAAGCTTGGGCAGTTACAGGGCTTGCCTCATTTATTTCTCTTTTTTAGGGATCACTGTCTTTTGTTATCAGATATCCAGGGTCTAGAAAACTGTTCTTTCTTATGTTTTATCTGAGTTTCTGATTTCTTTCAGGTGGGCAAGTAAATCCAGTTACTTGGAAGCAGAAGCAATTACTTTTAGTTTTAGTAGAACTTATTTCATCATAAATTTACATAACAATTTTTAATGATGGCTGTGCAAATCAGCTCCCTCATAAGACTCCTGAAAATTTAACAATTGACACTCACAAGCCAGTATGAGCCACCTCCAGCAGACCTCTGCTAGAGCTTCACTTTTTACATTTGTAAGACAAAGAAATTGGTTTATGTGATTTAGGTGTATGTTTAGTTTATCAAGTCTAAATTCTGTGGCCTTAGGAAGAACTGCTCTGATCAGATACATTCAATAATTTTAAAACACAAAGCAAATAAAATAAAACTAAAAAATCCTTAAGGATTCAGACCCAAAACTTTATTGTATTGCTATCTCTTCTTTTTTATTTTCATTTATTTTTATTTTTTATTTTTTGAGATGGAGTTTCGCTCTTTCATCCAGGCTGGAGTGAAGTGGCATGATCTTGGCTCACTGCAACCTCCACCTCGTGGGTTCAAGCAATTCTGCTGCCTCAGCCTCCTGAGTAGCTGGGATTATGGACACCTGCCACCATGCCCAGCTAATTTTTGTATTTTTAGTAGAGATGGGATTTCACTATGTTGGCCAGGCTGGTCTCGAATTCCTGACCTCAGGTGATCCACCCATCTGAGCCTCCCAAAATGCTAGGATTACAGGCATGAGCCATCACGTCCAGGCTATCTCCTCTTTTTTTAATAGAGTCTCCTGCATCTATGCATATATGGTGGGCAGGGGACGTTTCCAGTTCAGACCTTTGTCATCTATAGACTAAGAAATCACTGCAACTGATATTTTTGCTTCTAGTCTCTTTCCCTTTCAATTCTACCTTTCATGGTATCAGGAGAACCAGCTTTCTAAAATCACAGATTTGGTCAGGTCTTTCCCCATTGCCTGTGGAATGAAGTCCAAGCTCCTTAGGATGATACATAAAGCTATTGTGATAAAAGACATATTACAAAATAAATCATCCCAAAATCTTATTCCCCTTGGTAGCATTGTCTAAGTATACACCATGTGATGGCTCTAGGGAGGTAGAGAGCACTTCCTGGCCCTTTGACTTTGAACTCGATCGATCATGTGGTTGCTTTGACCAATGGGATGTTAGCGATGTGACATGAGCAAAGACTTGAAAGGGACTTGCATGGTTAGACCTTTTGCTTCTGCCATTACCATGAGAAAAACATACCCTGGTAGTCTCTGTCCCTACAGTCTGAGCCCAGAATGAGATAAGTGGGCTAGACCCACAACCTAAAGCAGAATCCTGTAGCCTAGCCAACCCTAGCCTAGATCTGCAGTTGGCCTGCAAATCAATGAGCAAGAAAATCATACGACAAATATTTTTCTGGTTGTTTATCAAGTAGCAAAAGCTGATGGATACAATGACTAACATTTTAGTCTTTAATCCACACAAGGAACTTTAACATTTATTAGCTCATTTAACTTTCACAATAACTTGTAAAACAGTCTTGCATTGTACAGATGGGGTAAATAATATTTTGTAAGCCTATGTTACTTTCTTAGGTTATATAGCAAGTAAGTGTGGTAGATATTAGGTTTGATATCAGATTTGCCTTTCTCCACTGCATACCTTCATCTCCTACTGCTCCCCCAATTTCTTCTATTTGCTGCTTTAGCGATAATATGCTCTAAAATATCATTTATATCTCTAGCCTTGGCACATTCTGTACCCCATGAGGCATATGGTAGGTGCTCAATAAATATTTATTGAGTGGCTAATGAATAAGTGACTGTCTAGAATGCCTATCTTTTGTCACCTTGGTAATTCATGATCTTCAAGACCTGGTTTAGAGATCGCTCCTATGTGAAGTTTTTCTTCTTCCCTCCAATTTCTTCCCATATGTTTTACATTTCCTTACCATAGTTCACCTATTCTACCTGTCATAATAAATTGCAATTATTTAATGACATTCGTTTTTCTTACGTTAAAATTGGTCAACAGTAAGATTCACACGAATTCATCTTGTGTCCCTAGGGCAAGGCTAGGAATGGCACATGCCTAATAAGTATGTTTTCATTCTTTTTTGGGTTCTTGCTCTGTCACCCACGCTGGAATACAGTGGCACAACCTTGGCTCATGATTCACTGCAGCCTCAACCTCCTCAGGTCAAGTGATCCTCCTGACAGCCTCCCATGTAGCTGGGATCACAGGCACACACACCACCATACCTGGATAATTCTTTCTCTTTTCTTTTCTTTCTTTTTTTTTTTTTTTTTTTTTTTTTTTTCAGAGACAGGGTCTCACTTCACTTTGTTGCCCAGGCTGGTCTCAAACTCCGGGGCTCAAGCAATCCTCCCTCGGCCTCCCAAGGTGTTGGGTTTACAGGTGTGAGCCACTATGCCTGGCCTATATCTTTTCATTCTAAATGCTCTTTGTGATTATCAAATGATACCAAAGCTAAGCTTCCAGGAAATCCCAATGAATTTAAGCATCATGACTAGCCAGTGATTCTCTCTGCCTTCCTAAGCAGACACAAAAGAAAAACTTAAAAATAGTAAGTTTCAAGGGGTTTGGACAACTTCTTACCCATCTCTTAGGACTTCTCATCTGTCTTCCAGGCCCTTGTTGAAAACCACTGCATGCAGCAGGACGTTATCATGGAAGAGTACTGTACTTGTGAATCGCATACTTGCAGGGGAAAAAAGTTTGAAAACTCTGTGTTTAATTCCAAATTTTCAGAATGATTTTTCTTAACCAAAGTATTTCAAATGCATCAGTTTTACAAAGAGAAATAGTATGACCTAAATTTTGAAGTAAATACTTTTAAATCAAGTATCACGATGTAGCCAGCATCATAATACTGTACTACCTGGATAGTACTTTATTAAAGAATAGTAACAACCACTAGATGTCAGCACTTATGAATTGTAATCCAGCCAAATGCTCCGATGGTTTAATTTTTTCTTTATTTTTAAGATTATGATTTATAATAAAAGATCATTAGAAAATAAATACAAGGCCAGGCACAGTGGCTCATGTCTGTAATCCCAGCACTTTGGGAGGCCGAGGCGGGTAGATCACGAGGTCAAGAGATCGAGACCATCCTGACCAACATGGTGAAACCACGTCTCTATTAAAAATACAAAAATTAGCGGGGCTTGGTGGCGCGTGCCTGTAATCCCAGCTACTCGGGAGGCTGAGGCAGGAGAATCGCTTGAACCCAGGAAGCGGAGGTTGCAGTGAGCCAAGATCGTGCCACTGCACTCCAGCCTGGTGACAGAGCGAGATTCCGTCTCAAAATAATAATAATAATAATAATAGTAATAATAATAATAATAAATACAAAATGTTTGCTTGAAATATATATTTAGAAAATAATAAACTCCGTTAAAATCTCATTTAAAATGACCATTTTGCAAGCCCTGGAGGTCCACAAACTGGTACTTTGACAACACAGGACCAAAGTAAAATTCTACGTAGAAGGATTTTCCATAGGTAACACCCTATCATCTCAAGAGCTGAATAAGTGGACTTGAATCTATGTATTCGGGATTTTCTTCAGGTCATGAGAGCAAGATACTCCTCTTCACAAAAGAGCCACATGTTATAGTCCTGAAGTATACTCTCTATATAACTCCTTGCCACCTACCCAACAATTGACTTGAGGTTCTCCTTTTAAGTTTAAGCTGTGGAATCACTAAATTTCCTAGCACTCCTCTTTTGAACATATTCAACAAAACAAATCAAAATCAGTGCATGGACAAGGCTGCTTAAAATACTTTTTTTTTTTTCTAGGACACAAAAATCTCTCTTGAGCTGCCTCTGAATAGCAAAATGAAGTGAGATGCACCAAGAGCAAGGATCATGCCAAAGGTTTGTCCATTGGGTGGGATCTGTGAGCCTGTGGCTGAGAGTAATACAAGCCTAATTAGCTGCTTAATGAATCATTATGAAGCTGTCTGGGGTTGAGTGAGGAATGTATACACTTGGCTCAGCTGACTGGCATTATTTTGATCAGAGTTTGAAATGAAACAATAGAATGCGTTAAGCTATTAAATATTTTCATAGATAGCCTCAGATATTTCTTCCATAGCTGGGGTTCCATAACACCTTGAAGCTAAGAAGCCCCACTTTCTTGTACCACCTGAACTTAGTTTTAGAAAATGAAAGTGGTTTTGTTCATATTTTACTCATATTTAAAAATAAAATTATAGTAAAATCATATCACTGAATTAGTATTTCTATTCTATTCTATCCTGTGTTTTCTGACAGGGAATACGGCTCCTAGCTTTCCAACTTGCAATTTTTGTTTGCATGCTCTGAGAATTTTGTCCTAGACTATTACAATCAAATGATTATCATTATACACTAAGATTCTTCTCTAAGAGTTACAAGATTTACATTCTTCTCTCTCACCATTTACCAGAGTTATATAAGTTTAATTCTGTGTTTAAAAAGATTCAATATATATCACTAGTCCTTTCCTACATAGCATGAACATTCATTTTCGTTTATCCCTTAAAGATGATGAAAAAAATTATTAAAGTGCTTTTTTTGTTTTTTTGTAGAAGTCCTATGTAGGTGTTTCTTGGTATTTGTCAAAAAATATCAAGATATAATTATCTTGCTATTTTTCTTTTCTTTTTTTTTGAGATGGAGTCTCACTCTGTCACCCAGGCTGGAGTGCAGTGGTGTGATCTCGGCTCACTGCAACCCCTGCCTCCCGGGTTCAAGCAATTCTCCTGCCTCAGCCTCCTAAGTAGCTGGGATTACAGGGGCCCGCCACCATGCTTGGCTAATTTTTGTATTTTTAGTAGAGATGAGGTTTCACTATCCTGGCCAGGCCGGTCTTGAATTCCTGACTTCGTGATTCACCCGCCTTGGCCTCCCAAAGTGCTGGTATTACAGGCATGAGCCACCACGCCCAGCCATATCTTGCAATTTTTCCATAGAATCATCTTGATGGGTGTTTTTTATTTATTTGGGGGCCATTTGAATTCTTACCTTATAATATGAGCTAGAGGTTTCATTTTAATGCTTTTTATTCTTTAGCCCCTTCATTGCCTAAGAGGATTAGGTAAAATGTCTGGGGTTATAAGTAATCACAGTATTATGACTTTATGTTAAAAAACATCTACCACTTTCCAGTTATGCCAAATTATGAAAAGTATCATTCGTATCTTTCCTATTCAGCGGGATGTCCTTAGGTGTTGGTTTATTCTTTAGCTTCAGAATGAGTTATATACAGTTTTGTGAAAAATCAGGTTAGTGTGACATCCCATGATTTATTAGTTGTGTTCTTTTTCTTTTTTTTCCCCCCCTTTAGCTTTCCCTTTCTTTTTTATTGAGTGGGCCAACTTATCTTTTCTCCATCTAATCATTTTTGTTCCTTTGCAGCAAATGTGGATCCTAATATAGAATCCCTTGTCTTTTCCCCTCTAGAGCTCTCACTGTGATTAAGGAGTCAGATTAGAGAATGTTTAATATGGCAGCTAGTCATCACAAAGTCTATTACAACTGACCAGCTGCACTGGGGGAATGGCCTCCAAGTGGCTTGTCTTTGCCTTTCTTGTTGCCTCTCCAGGCTTTCAGCCTTTCATCTTCAAAATAGGGGATCACAGTGGGTGCCTTATTACCTTGTAGTCCTACAACACTACAAAATGACTTCAGGTAGGGTAATGCTTTGTTGATGCTTTGGAAAAGCCCATACCAAAACAAACCCTTAACCCTGTGAATTCTATTTATTACTTTCTATACTCCATCATGTTCTAATTTTTTTCAATAAACTTATTTCATTTCAATAGTTTTAAGATCAAAGGTTAAAAAAATTTTTTTTAAGAAATTATCTCTTGCTATATTGCCCAGGCTGGCTTTGAAATCCTGGACTCAAGGGATCCACCCACCTCAGCCTCTTGAGTAGCTGGGCCTACATGCACACATCACTGCACCTGGCTTAAGATTCAAGTTTTTAAAAAATCAACTTTAATATTGCTGCAAATAAAAATTCAGTACACTGGAAATTTAAATGTAGAATAGCTATGCACAATACTTTGCAAAAAAAATTGGATAGAATTATGACTGAAGAAGTATCAGTAATGGACATTATCCCAAATGAAGATAAATATACTAGAGCAAGTACATAGACAGAGGACAGGCACTAATTGTATTGTACTGCAAATTGTATTCAATATCAATATAAAATTGAAAAATACTGAAAGAAAGGGAGGCTAGAGGTTATTATTGAGTTAATTGATTTACTTTAGAAATTTTCAAACTTTTGAGGATGCTGGAGGTATTTTTGCTTTATGGACATGCTCTGATTTCCCCAATTATCAATGAAAACTATTTCAGCTCAGTAGATCACAGGCATCCATCATAAGCACTTGAAACAACCTGACAGGTGTTTCAATGAAATGATGGTTACATTGTTGATGCTCTCTTGCACACAAGGATACTGTAATATGAACCAGTCAATTTCCTCATAATGTACTAATTATTATCTAAACCCCTTGCATGTCACCAATTCAACTACGTGTGGCTGTGTTTCAAGCCCTTATGGAAACCTGCAGAAATCTGAGAGTAGGAAACTTGAGTATCTCCACACCACTCTGAATCAACTATTTATTGTATGGCTAACTGCCCCACAGGTTTGCTTTGAAGACAGACTATCACTATAGTAGAGTGAGTTGTTAAAAAAAATACTGTTCTGCTAGGCGCAGTGGCTCATGCCTGTGGTCCCAGCTAGTTGGGAGGCTGAGGCAGGCAGATCACTTGAGCTTAGGAGGTAGAAGCTTCACTGAGTCATGACTGCATCACTGCACTCCAGCCTGGGCAACAGAGACCTTGTCTCTAAAAAAAAAAAGAAAAAAGAAAAAAAAAAACCCACTGTTCTATGAAGCAATATCATAGATAATATATTTTTAAATTTCTTGCCATCTTTTTAAAAAAGACTATTTTTACAGCACTTTTGGTTTCACAAAAAAATTAAGATGAAGGTATAGGCTGGGCACGGTGGCTCATGCCTATAATCACAGCACTTTGGGAGGCCGAGGTGGGTAGATCACCTGAGGTCAGGAGTTCAAGACCAGCCTGACCAATATGGTGAAACCTTGTCTCTATCAAAAATACAAAAATTAGCCGGGCATGATGTCGGGCGCCTGTAATCCCAGCTACTCGGGAGTCTGAGGCAGGAGAATCGCTTGAATCCAAGAGGCAGAGGTTGCAGTGAGCCGAGATCCCGCCATTGCACTCCAGCCTGGGCGACTGAGCAAAACTCCATCTCAAAAAAAAAAAAAAAAAAAAGATGAAGGTATAGAGATTTCCCATATATCCCCATCACCCTACAAATGCATAGATTCCTCCATTATCAATATCCACCACCAGAGTGACATATTTGTCACAACTGATGAAACTGTGTTGACACATGATAATCACCCAAAGTGCATAGTTTATATCAGGGTTAGCTCTTCGTATTTTACATTGTATGCCTTGGAAAAACGTTTAATGTCATGTATCCAACATTTGTATCAGAGTATTTTCACGGTCCTAAAATTTTCTGTTCTCCACCTATTCAACCTTTCCTCCCTCACTAACCCCTGCCAACCACTGATCTTTTTAGTGTCTCCAGAGTTTTGCCTTTTCCAGAATGCCCTATAGTTGGAATCATCCATCCATCCATCCATCCATCCATCCATCCATCCATCCATCACACATTCTATGATGTGTAGTTGGAATTATACATCAACATTTTCAGATTGGCTTCTTTCACTTAATAATACGCATTTAAAGACCCTTCATGTCTTTTCATGGCTTGATAACTCGTTTAATTTTAGTGGTGAGTAATATTCCATTGTCTAAAAAACTACAGTTTATTTATCCATTCACCTACTAAAGAATATGTTGGTTGCTTCCAAGTTTTGGCAATTATGAATAAAAAATGCAGTAAACGTGTGTGCATATAAGTTTTCAACTCCTTTAGGTAAATGACTTTAGGTAAATGCCAAGGAGCATGATTTGTGGACAATATGGTAAGAATATGTTTAGTTTTGTAAGAAACAGCCAAAATTGTCTTCTAAAGTGGCTGTACCATTTTGCATTCCCACCAGCAATGAATGAGAGTTCCTGTTGCTCCACATCCTCACTAGCATTTGGTGTTGTCAGTGTTCCAGATTTTGGTCATTATAATAGGAGTATGGTAGTATCTTGTTGTTGTTTTAATTTTCATTTCTCTGATAACATGTGATGTGGAGCATCTTTTCAATCTTTTCAATATGCTTATTTGCCACCTACACGTATTTTTTGATGAAGTCTCTGTTCAGGTCTTTGGCTTTTTTTTTTTTTTGAGACGGAGTCTCGCTTTGTCGCCCAGGCTGGAGTGCAGTGGAGCGATCTCGGCTCACTGGAAGCTCCACCTCCCGGGTTCACGCCATTCTCCTGCCGCAGGTGGCTACAGAAATGCTGAAACAAAACCAGACTGGAATAAAGGATACAATTTGCAGGTGAAGGGCACACTTGGGAAGAAGAAAATTTTACATAATTGCTTTGATTCTCAAGGAGATTAAAGAAAACATGGGCTCTACAAAAACAAGAAAAAATGTCCAATAACCCTAACTCTATCTCTAATTATCCATGTAATCTTTACTAAAACAAATGAACAAAAGACGCACTTTAATAATTCTCCTGCCCGGCTAATTTTTTTGTATTTTTAGTAGGACAGGGTTTCACCGTGTTAGCCAGGATGATCTCGAGCTCCTGACCTCGTCATCCGCCTGCCTCGGCCTCCCAAAGTGCTGGGATTACAGGCGTGAGCCACTGCGCCCGGCCCATTTTTTCTTTTTTAAAGGCAGAGTCTTGCTCTGTTACCCAGGCTAGAGTGCAGTGGCTATAGTAGAGTGCACTGCAACCTCTGCCTCTTGGGTTCAAGTGATTCTCCTGCCTCAGCCTCCCAAGTAGCTGGGATTACAGGCATGTGGCCACCATGCCCGGCTAATTTTTCTATTTTTAGTAGAGGCAGGGTTTCACCATGTTGGCCAAGCTGGCCTTGAACTCCTGACCTCAAGTGATCCACCCACCTCCCAACGTGTTGGGATTACAGGCATAAGCCACCACCCCTGGCCACCCAATTTTTTAAATTGGGTTTTTTTTCTCTTATTGTTGAGTTTTAAGAAGTATTTGTATATTTTGGATAGCAGTCGTTTATCAGATGTGTCTATACAAATATTTTCTCCCCTATCTATGGCTTATCTTCTCATTCTCTTGACATTGTATTTTGGGGGCAGAAGTTTCGATTTTTAACTAAGTCCAGCTAATCAATTAGTTCTTTCATGGATCATGTCTTCAGTGTTGTCCCTAAAAAGTCATTGTCATATCCAAGTTCATCTAGATTTTCTCCTATGTTATCTTCTAGGAGTTTAAAAATTTTGCCTCTTATATTTAGGGCTATGATCCATTATGATCCCCCTTTTTTTTTTCTTTTTTTGAGAGGAAGTTTCTCTCTTGTCACCCAGGCTGGAGTGCAATGGCGTGATCACAGCTCACTGCAACCTCCACCTCCCAGGTTCAAGTAATTCTCCTGCCTCAGCCCCCCAAGTAGCTGGGATTACAGGTACCCACCACCACGCCTGGCTAGTTTTTATATTTTTAGTAGAGACAAGATTTCACCATGTTGGCCAGGCTTGTCTCAAACTCCTGACCTCAGGTGATCCACCCACCTCAGCCTTCCAAAGTGCTGGGAATACAGGGCGAGCCACTGTGCCTGGCCTCTATAATCCATTTTTGTTAAATTTTGTAAAGGGTGGAAGATCTGTGTCTGGATTCATGTTTTTGCTCATGGATCATCTATTTCTCTATTTTTTCACCAATACCACACTGTCTTGATAACGGTAGCTTTATGGAAAGTCTTAAAGTCAGGTAGTTTCAATCCTCCAACTTTGTTCTTCTTCAATATTGTATTGGTTATTCTGGGTCTTTTGCCTTTCTGTATAAAATTTAAAATCATCTGGGTGCGGTGGCTCATGCCTGTAATCCCAGCACTTTGAGAGGCAAAGGTAGGCAGATTGCTGAGTCCAGAAGTTCGAACCCAGTCTGGGCAATGTGGCAAAACCCTATCTCTACAAAAAATAAACAACTTAGCCAGGCATGGTTGCATGTGCCTGTAGATCCAGCTATGTGGGAGGGTGAGGTGGGAGGATCGCTTGAACCTGGGAGGACAAGGCTGCAGTGAGCCATGATTGTACCACTTCACTCCAGCCTAGTGAGACCCTGTCTCAAATAAGCAAACAAACAAATAAATAAATAAAATTTAAAATCACTTTGTCAATATACACAAAATAACTTGCTACAATTTTGATTGGGATTGACTCTATAAATTTAGTTGGGGAAAACTGGGATATTGAAAATATTGAGTCTTCCTAACCATGGACATAGGATATTTCTCCATTTATTTAGTTCTTTGATTTCATTCTTCGGAGTTTTGTAGTTTTCCTCATAAAGATCTTTTACATATTTTGTTAGATTTATACCTAAGTATTTCATTTGTGGGTGCTAATGTAAAGGGTATTTGTATTTAATTTTGAATTCCACTTGTTCATTGCTGGCATACAGAAACGTGGTTGACTTTTGATATTAACTTTGAATCCTGCAACCTTGCTATAATTGCTTATTAGTTCAAGGAGGTTTTTTGTCTATTCTTTTGAATTTTCTACATAGATGATCATATAATCTGCAAACAAAGACAGTTTTACTTATTTCTTCCCAATCTGTATATCTTTTATTTAATTTTCTTGTTGTATTGCATTAACTAGTACTTCCAGTAAAATATTGCAAAATATTGAAAAGGAGTGGTGAGAGGGGATGTCCTTGTCTTGTTTATGATCTTAATGGGAAAGCTTTGAGTTTCTCACTATTAGGTATGATGTTAGCTGTAGATTTTTATAGATATTCTTTATCAAGTCAAGGACACTCCCTTGTATTCCTATTTACTGAGAGTTTTTATTATCAGTGGTTGTTGAATTTGTCAAATGCTTTCCACATCTATTTATATAATCATATAATGTTTCTCTTTTTTTTTTTTTTTGAGATGGAGACTCACTCTGTCACCCAGGCTGGAGTGCAATGGTGCAATCTAGGCTCACTGCAACTTCCGCCTCCCAGGTTCAAGTGATTCTCCTGCCTCAGCCTCCCGAGTAGCTGGGATTACAGGCACCTGCCACCACGCCCAGCTGACTTTTGTTTTTTTTTTTTTTTGAGACGGACTCTCGCTCTGTTGCCCAGGCTGGAGTGCAGTGGTGCGATCTCAGCTCACTGCAAGCTCCGCCTCCCAGGTTCACGCCATTCTCCTGCCTCAGCCTCCTGAGCGGCTGGGACTACAGGCGCCAGCCACCACGCCTGGCTAATTTTTTTTTTTAGTTTTTATTTTTAGTAGAGATGGGGTTTCACCATGTCAGCCAGGATGGTCTCGATCACCTGACCTTGTGATCTGCCAGCCTTGGCCTCCCAAAGTGCTGGGATTACAGGCATGAGTCACCACACCTGACATAATTTTTCTTTTTAGTCTTTTGATGTGATGGATTACATTAATGCATTTTGAAATATCAAATCAGCCTTAACACCTGGAATACATCACAGTTGGTCATGTGTATAACTCTTATACATTGTTGGATTCCATTTGCTAATATTTTGTTGAGGGTTTTTGCATTTATGCTCATGAGAGTATATTGGTCTGCAGTTTTCTTGTAATACCTTTGTCTGGTATTACAAGAAAATCCTAGTGTAATCCTGGATTCACAGAATGAGTCAGACAGTATTCCCTCTGTTTCTATCCTCTGAAAGAGATTGTAGATAACTGGCATAATTTTTTCCTTAAATGTTTGGTAAAATTCATAGGTGAACCCATCTGGGCCTAGTGCTTTCTGTTTTGAAAGGCTATTATTGATTCAATTTCTTTAACAGATATAGACCTATTCAAATTGTCCATTTTTCTCTTGTGTGAGTTTTGGCAGATTGTATCGTTCAAGGAATTGGTCTGTTTCATCTAAATTTGTGGGCATAGAGTTGTTTATAATAATCCTTTATTATCCTTTAATGTCCATGGGATCTGTGGTGATGCCCTTTTTTCATTTCTGATATTAGTAATTTGTGTCCTCTTTCTTCTTTCTTGTTTTCTTTTTTTTTTTTTTTTTTTTTTTGAGACAGAGTCTCGCTTTGTTGCCCAGGCTGGAGTGCAGTGGCGCAGTCTCGGCTCACTGCAAGCTCTGCCTCCCGGGGTCATGCCATTCTCCTGCCTCAGCCTCCCGAGTAGCTGGGACTACAGGCGCCTGCCACCACGCCTGGCTAAGTTTTTGTATTTTTAGTAGAGATGGGGTTTCACCGTGTTAGCGAGGATGGTCTCGACTTCCTGACCTCGTGATCTGCCCAGCTCGGCCTCCCAAAGTGCTGGGATTACAGGTGTGAGCCACCGCACCCAGCTTTTCTTGTTTTCTTTCTCACTTTTTTTTTTTAAAGATTTATTGACTTTATTGATCTTTTACAAGAAACATCTTGGCCAGGCATGGTGGCTCACACCTGTAATCCCAGCACTTTGGGAGACTGAGGCAGGTGGATCGCTTGAACCAGGGAGTCAGGTTGCAGTGAGCCGAGATCGTGGCACTGCACTCCAGCCTGGTGACATAGTGAGACTCCATCTCAAAAATAAAATAAAATAAAATAAAATAAAATAAAATAAAATAAAATAAAATAAAAATAAAACATAAACATATTTTGGTTTTGTTGATTTTCTCTATTTCCTATTTTCAATTTCTTTGATTTCTGCTCTAATTTTTTTTTCCCTGCTTACTTTGGATATCATTTGCTCTTATTTTTCTAGTGTCCTAAGACAGAAAGTTTGATGGTTAATTTTAATCTTCTTTTTAATATATATGCTATAAATGTTTCTGTAAGCACTGCTTTCACTGCATATCACCATAGATACTTTAGTATCAACCTTATTTTTAAATTATTATTATTTTTAACAGGCAGACAATATATTTATAACTGAGCCGGGGGGAAAAAAAAGAACATGAAGTTTTTAATAATAGAAACATGGAGAGGCAGAGCAAGATGGCTGAATAGAAGCCTCCACTGATCATCCTCCTTGCAGGAACACCAAATTAAACAACTGTCCACACACAAAAAAGCACCTTCAAAAGAACAAAAAATTAGATGAGCATTCACAGTACCTGGTTTAACTTTCTATCACTGAAGCAGGCATTGAAGAGGGTAGGAAAGACAGTCTTAAATTGCTGACGCCACCCCTCCCCCATTCCCCAGTGGCAGTTGCATGGCATGAAGAGAGAATCCGTGCGTTTGGGAGAAGGAAAGCACAGTGATTGTGGGATTTTGTATTGGAACTTAGAGCTGCCCTGTCACAGCAGAAAGCAACACTGGGCAGAACTCAAGCAGTGCCCATGGAGGAGCATTTAGACCAATTTTAACTAGAGGGGAATTGCCCATCCCAGCAGTCAGAACCTGAGTTCTGACAAGCCTCACCAATGTGGGCTAAAGTGCTCTAGGATCCTAAATAAACTTGAAAGGCAGTCTAGGCTACAAGGCCTGCAATTCCTAAGCAAGTCCTGGTGCTGTTGTGGGCTGGGAACCATTGGACTTATGGGGTACATGGCTTAGTGAGATACTAGCCAGGGCAGCCACGCAAGTGCTTGAGCCATGCCTCCCCAAACCTCAGGCAGCACAGCTCACAGCACTGGGAGAGACTCCTTCTTTCTGCTTGAGGAAAAAAGAGGGAAGAGTAAAGAGGACTTTGTCTTGCAACTTGAATACCAGCTCAGCCACAGTAGGATAGGGCACTGGGTAGAATCCCGAGGCCCCCATTCCAGGCCTTAGCGCTCAGATGACATTTCTAAACATACCCTGGGGCAGAAGGGAATCTGCTGGCTTTAACTTAGTACTGGCAGGATTCATCACTTGCTGACTACAGAGCCCTTAGGCCCTCAATAATATAGCCAGGCAGTACTTGCCATGGGCATTGGGTGTGACTCAGAGACATGCTAGCTTCAAGTGTGACCCAGCAAATTCCTAGCTGGGGTGCTTAAGGGAAGAGGCTCTGTCTGCTTAAGAAAAGAAGAGGGAAGAGTAAAGGAGACCTTGTCTTGCAACCTAGGTACCAGCTCAGCCACAGTGGGGTAGACCACCAAGTAGGCTCTTGGGCTCCCTGCTTCCAGGCCTTAGTTCTTGAACAGCATTTCTGGACCTGTCTTGGGCCAGAGGGGAGCCCACTTTCCTGAAGGGATAGTCCCTGGCCTGACAGCATTCACCATAAGCTGACTGAAGAGCATTTGTGTGAACATTGACAGTAGTCAGGCAAATAACGGCCCTTGGGCAGTGGTGGTCATAGGGAGGGACTTCTCTGCTTGTGGAAAGGGGAGGGAAGAGTGGCAAGGACTTTGTATTGTGGGTTAGGTGCCAGCTAAGCCAGAGTAGTGGAGGATATGGTAGATTCCTAAAGTTTCTAACTCCAGGCCGTGGCTCCTCAATGGCATCTCTAGATCCTCCCAGCGCAGAGGGATCTCACTACCCTGAAGGGAAGGAAACAAGCCTAGCTGGTTTTGCCACCCACTAATTGTATAGCTTTAGGGTCTTGAGTGAACACCGGTGGCAGATGAGAGTGGTTACTGTGGGCCTTGGGCAAGACTCAGTGCTGTGCTGGCTTCAGGTCTGACCCAGCACAGTCCCAGTGGTGGCAGCCACAGGGGTGCTTTACACCTCTGCCTGAGCTCTGGGCAGCTCAGGACAAAGAAAGAGACTCTGGGAGAAAGGAAGGGAAGAGCACAAAAGTCTATACCTGGTAATCCAGGGAATTCTTCTGGATCGTATCAAAGAACAGCAAGGCAGTACCTCTACAAGTGTGCAAGAGCCATAGCTTTACTGAGATTGGGGTGCCCTATAATGCAGATATGACTGCAGTGACCAAAAACTTAGATCACAACACCCAAGTAACTTCAAATACCTGGAAAGCCTTCCCAAGAAGGACAGGTACAAACAAGCCCAGACTGTGAAGACTAAAATAACTACCTAACTCTTCAATGTCAGACACTGACAAAATCCACAAGCATCAGAAGCATCCAGGAAAACATGATCTCACCAAATTAAGTAAAGCAACAGTGACCAATCACAGAGTGACAGAAATATGTGACCTTTGAGACAGGTAATGCAAAATAGCTGTTTTGAGGAAACTCAGTGTAATGCCAACAGAAATTCCGAAGATAACACAGAGAAGCAACTCAGAATTCTATCAGATAAATTTAACAAATAAACTGAAATAACTAAAAAGAAGCTGAATATCTGGAGTTGAAAATGTAATTGACATACTGAAGAATGCAACAGAGTCTCCTAACAACAGAAGTGATCAAGCAGAAGAATTAGTGAGGTTGAAGACAGAATATTTGAAAACACACAGTCAGAGGAGACAAAATAAAAAAGAATAAAAAAGAATGAAGCACACCTACAAGACCTAGAAAATAGCCTCAAAAGGGCAAATCTAAGAGTTATTGGCCTTAAAGAGGAGGTGGAGAGATAGGGGTAGAAAGTTTACTCAAAGAAATAACAGGGAACTTCCCAAACCTAGAGAAAGAGATCAGTATCCAAACACTAGAAGATTACAGAACATCAAGCAGATTTAACCCAAAGAAGACTACCTCAAGGCATTTAATCAACAAATTCCCCAAGGTCAAGGATAAAGAAAGGATCTTAAAAGCAGCAAGAAAAAAGAAATGAAGAACATACAATGGAGCTCCAATACATCTGGCAGCAAACTTTTCAATAGAAACCTTATAGGCCAGGAGACAGTGTCATGCCGTATTTAAAGTGCTGAAGGAAAGACTTTTATCCTAGAATAGCATATCTGGTGAAAACATCCTTCAAACATGAAGGAGAAATAAAGACTTTCCCAGACAAACAAAAGCGGAGGGGTTTCAACACCAGACCTGTTCTTCTACAGACCTCTACAAGAAATGCTAAAGGGAGTTCTTCAATCTGAAAGGAAAGGATATTTAATGAGTAATAAGAAATCGTCTGAAGATACAGAATATTATAACACTGTAATTGTCATGTGTAAATAACTCATATCTTAAATAGAAAAGATTAAAAGAATTAAATAGAAAAGATTAAAAGATTACTGACCAAAAATGATAAATATGACAACTTTTCAAGACATAGTACAATAAGATATAAATAGAAACAACCAAAAATTTAAAAGTGGGGAGACAAAGTTAAAGTGCAGTCTTTATTAGTTTTCTTTTTGCTTATTAGTTTATGCAATTAGAATTAAGTTATCATCAGTTTAAAATAATGGTTTATATTACTTGCAAGTCTCATGGTAACCTCGAATCTAAAATCATACAATGAATGCATAAAAAATATAAAGCAAGAAATTAGTGTATATACATATATACACTATATACACACACATATATGTACACACAATGGAATATTATTCAGCCATAAAAAAGAAGAAAATCCTGCCTTTTGCAACAACATGAATAAAACTGGAGGACATCATGCTAAGTGAAATAAACTAGACACAGAAAGACATATACTGTATGATCTCACTTACATGTGGAATCTTAAAAAAATGAATTCATAGAAGCACAGAGCAGAATAGTAATTGCCATGGGCTGGGGGCAGGGAAATGAAGTGATATTGGTCAAAGGGTATAAACTTTCAGTTATAAAATGAATAAGTTCTGGTGGTCTAACATATGGCATGGTGACTATAGTTACTAATAATGTATTGTATACTTTAATTTGCTAAGAGAGCAGATCTTCAGGGACCTCATTGCTGTCTCCCTGCCCCGAAAACATGGTCAGCAAGTGTGATGATAGATGTGTTCACTTGATTGTGGCAATCATTTCACAATGTATATGTATATCAAATAATCATGTTGTACACCTTGAATATATACAATTTTTTTTTGAGATGAAGTTTCGCTCTTGTCGCCCAGGCTGGAGTGCAATGGCGTGATCTCAGCTCACTGCAACCTCCCCCTCCCAGGTTCAAGTAATTCTCCTACATCAGCCTCCTGAGTAGCTGGGATTAGAGGCATGCGCCACCACACCCAGCTAATTTTTCTATTTTTAGTAGAGACGGGGTTTCACCAAGTTGGCCAGGATGGTCTCAATCTCTTGACCTCATGATACGCCTGCCTCAGCCTCCCAAAGTGCTGGGATTACAGGTGTGAGCCACCATGCCTGGCCAAATATATACAATTTTTATTTGTCGAATATACCTCAATAAAACTGGAAGAAAACATAATCAAGACATTGAAACATACAACCAGGCCGGGCACAGTGGCTCACGCCTGTAATCCCAGCACTTTGGGAGGCCAAGGCAGGTGGATCACTTGAGGTCAGGGGTTGGAGACCAGCCTGGCCAACACGGTGAAACTCCATCTCTACTAAAAATGCACAAAAAAATTAGCCAGGCAATGTGGCGCATGCCTGTAATCCCAGATACATGGGAGACTGAGGCAAGAAAATTGCTTGAACTCAGGAGGCAGAGGTTGCAGTGAGCTGAGATTGTACCACTGCACTCCAGCTTGGGTGACAGAGAGAGAGACTCTGTCTCAACAACAACAAAAACAAACAAACAAAACAACAAGAAAAAAACATATAACCGGAGAAAATCACCTTCACTCAAAGGAAGACAGGAGGGAAGGAAAGAAGGAAGAGAAGACCACAAAACAGCCAGAAAACAAATCACAAAATGGCAGGAGTAAGTCCTTACTTATCAATAATAACACTGAATGTAAATGAGCTAAACTCTCCAATCAAAAGACACAGAGTGGCCAAATGGATGAAAAAACAAGACTCAATATCTACTGCCTACAAGAAACACACTTCCACCTACAAAGACACATGCAGACTAGAAATTAAGGGATAGAAAAAGATATTCCATGCAAATGGAAACCTAAAAAGAGCAGGAGCAGCTACTCTTATATCAGACAATATAGATTTCAAGACAAAAACTATAAAAAGAGACAAAGAGGGTCATTACATGATGATAAAGGGGTCAATTAAGCAATAATTTTAAATATATATGCACCAAAAACTGGCGCACTCAAATATTTAAAGTAAATATTAGAGAGAAAGAGAGAGATAGACCCCAATACAATAATAGCTGGAGATTTCGACACCCCACTTTCAGCATTGGACAGATCATCCAGACAGAAAATCAACACAGAATCATTGGATTTAATCTTCACTATAGACCAAATGGACCTAGTAGATATTTACAGGACATCTCATCCAATGGCTGTAGAATGTACATTCTTCTCCTGAACACACAGATCATTCTCAAGCTTAGATCATGTTAGATCCAAAAACAGGTCTTAAAACATTGAGAAAAAATTGAAATAATATCAAGCGTCTTCTCTGACCATAATGGAATAAAACTAGAAACTAAAAACAAGAGGAATCTTGGAAACGATACAAACACATGGAATTTAAATAATACACTCCTGAATGAGCAGTAGGCCAAAGAAGAGATTAAAAAGAAAATTGAAAACTTTCTAGAAACAAATGATAATTGAAATGTAACATACAAAAACCTGTGGGATACGGCGAAAGCAGTATTAAGAGAGAAGTTTATGGCTGTAAGTGCCTACATTTAAAAAGAAGAGGCCAGGTGTGGTGGCTCACACCTGCAGTCCCAGCATTTTGGGAGGCCGAGGTGGGTGGATCACTTGAGGTCAGAAGTTTGAGACCAGCCTGGCCTACATGGTGAAACCCTGTCTCAATTAAAAATACAAAAAATAGCTGGGCATGGTGGCAGGCGCCTGTAAACCCAGCTACTCAGGAGGCTGAGGCAGGAGAATTGCTTGAACTCAGGAGGCGGAGGTTGCAGTGAGCCAATATCACACAATTGCCCTCCAGCCTGGGTGATAAGAGTGAAACTCTGTCTCAAAAAAAAAAAAAGAAGAAGAAGAAGAAAAAAAAATTTCAAATAACCTAATGATGTGTGTTAAAGGCCTAGAAAAGCAAGAGCAGGGCAAACCCAAAGTTAGTAGAAGGAAACAAATAATAACGATCAGAGCAGAAATAAATAAAATCAAAAAGAACAGAAAAGAGCAATGAAATAAAGAGTTCATTTTTTGAAAACATAAACAAAATTGATAAACATTTAGCGAGATTATGTAAGGAAAAAAAGAGTAAAAATCCAAATAAATAAAATCAGAGATGAAAAAGGAGACATTACAACCAATACTGCAGAAATTCAAATGATCATTAGAGGCTACTATGAGCAACTATATGCCAATAAATTGGAAAACCTAGAGGAAATGGATAAATTCCTAGACACATACAACCTACCAAGATTGAACTATGAAGAAATCCTAAACCTGAACAAACCAATAACAAATAATGAGATCAAAGCTGTAATAAAAGTCTCCCAGCAAAGAAAAGCCTGGGACCTGATGGCTTCACTGCTGAATTTTACCAAACATTTAAAGAAGAACGAAGACCAATCCTACTCAAACTATTCTGAAAAAATAGAGAAGGAGAGAATACTTCAAACTCATTCTATGAGACCAATATTACCCTGATAGCAAAACCAGACAAAGATGCATCAATAAAAGAAAACTACAGGTCAATATCCCTGATGAACATTGATTCAAAAATCCTAAACAAAATACTAGCAAATGAAATTCAATAACATATTAAAAAGATCTTTCATCATAACGAAGTAGGATTTATTCCAGGGATGATAGGATGGTTTGACATATGCAAATCAATCAGTGTGATACATTATATCAACAGACTGAAGGACAAAAACCATATGACCATTTCAACTGATGCTGAAAAATCATTTGATAAAATTAAACACCCTTAATATAAAAACCCTCAAAAAACTGGGGCTAGAAGGAGCATACCTCAACATAATAAAAGCCATATATGACAGGCCTGCAGATAATATCATACTGAATGCGGAAGAACTGAGAGACTTTCCTCTAAGATCTGGAGCATGACAAGGATGCCCACTTTCACCACTGTTATTTAACATACTACTGGAAGTCCTAGCTAGAGAAATCAGACAAGAGACAGAAATAAAGGGCATCAAAACTGGAAAGGAAGAAGTCAACTTATCCTTGATTGCAAATGATATAATCTTACATTTGGAAAAACCTGAAGACTCCACCAAAAAAAAAAAATTAGAACCAATATACAAATTTAGTAAAGTTGCAGGACACAAAAATCAACATACAAAAATCAGTAGCATATCTATGTGCCAACAGTAAACAAATGGTAAAAAAAAAAAAATTAAGAAAGTAATCCCATTTACAGTAGCTACAAATGAAATTAAATATCTACAAATTAACCAAAGATGTGAAAGATCTCTACAATGATAACTATAAAACAATGATTAAAAAAATTGCAGAGGACACAAAAAAATGGAAAAAATATTCCATGTTCATGGATTGGAAGAATCAATATTGTTAAAGTGTCCATACTACCCAAAGCAATTTACAGATTCAATGTAATCCCTATCAAAATACCAATGACATTCTACACACACACACACACACACACACACGCTAAAATTTATATAGAACCACAAAAGACCCAGAATAGCCAAAGCTAATCTTAAGGAAAAAGAACAAAACTGGAGGAATCACATTAGCTAATTTTTTTTTCTTTTTTCTTTTTTTATTTTCTTATTTTTTGAGACAGAGTCTTGCTCTGTTGCCAGGCTGGAGTGCAGTGGCATGATCTCGGCTCACTGCAACCTCTGCCTCCCGGGTTCAAGCGATTTTCCTGTCTCAGCCTCCCAAGTAGCTGGGACTACAGGTGTGTGCTACCACAGCCAGCTAATTTTTGTATTTTTAGTAGAGATGAAGTTTCTCCATGTGGGCCGGGATGGTCTCTATCTCCTGACCTTGTGATCCGCCCGCCTAGGCCTCCCAAAGTGCTGGGATTACAGGTGTGAGCCACCGCGCCTGGCCCCTAATTTCAAATTATACTACAGAGCCATAGTAACCAAAACAGCCTGATACTGGCATTAAAGCAGACACATAGACCCATGGAACAGCAGAGATAACCCAGAAATAAATCCATACATCTACAGTGAACTCACTTTCTACAAAAGTGCCAAAAACATACATTTGGGTAAGGATGGTCTCTTCAATAAATGGTGCTGATAAAACTGGATATCCGTATGCAAAAGAATGAAGTTAGACCCCTATCTCTTGCCACATACAAAATCAAACAAAATTGATTAAATATTTAATTACAAGACCTCAAACTATGAAACTATTAAAATAAAACATGGGGGAAACTCTCCAGGACACTAGATGGGGAACGTTTCTTGAGTAATATCCCACAAGCACAAACTATCCAAGCAAAAAATGACAGATGGGATCACATCAAGTTAAAAGCTTCTGCACAGCAAAGAAAACAATCAACAAAGTGAAGAGACAACCCACAGAATGGGAGAAAATATTTGCACACTATCTATCTGACAAGGGATTTATAACCAGAATGCATAAGGAGCTCCAACAACTCTACAGGAAAAAATCTAATAATCTGATTTTAAAATGGGCAAAAGATATGAGTAGACACTTATCAAAAACAAGACATACAAATGGAAAACAGGTATATGAAAGGTGCTCAATATCATTGATCATCAGAGAAATGCAAATCAAAACTACAATGAGATATCATCTCACCCCTGTTAAAACCACTTATATCCAAAAAACAGGCAGTAACAAATGCTGCTGAGGATGAGGAGAAAAGGAAACCCTTGCACACTGTTGGTGGGAATGTAAATTAGTATAGCCACCATGGACAACAGTTTGGAGGTTCCTCAAAAAACTGAAAACAGAACTACCACATCATCCAGCAATTCCACTGCTAGGTATATATTCAAAAGAAAATAAATCAGTATGTAGAAGAGACATCTGAACTCCCATGTTTATTGCAGCACTATTCACAATAAAGATTTGGAAGCAATCCAAGTATCCATCAGCAGATGAATGGATAAAGAATATGTGGTACATGTACACAATGGAGTACTATTCAGTCATAAAAAAGAATGAGATCTTGTCATTTGCAACAATATGAAAAGAACTGGAGGTCATTATGCAACATGAAATAAGCCAGGCAAAGAAAGACAAGTATCATATACTCTTACTCATTTGTGGGAGCTAAAAATTAAAAAACCTGAACTCATGGAAAGAGAGAGCAGAATGATAGTTACCAGAGGCTGGGAAGGGTAGTGGGGTGGGAGAAGTGGGAACAGTTAATGGGTACAAAAACATACATAGAATGAATAAGATCTAGTATTTGAAAACACAATGGGGTGACTGCAGTCAACAGCAATTTATTGTACATTTGAAAATAACTAAGAGTATAATTGGATTGTCTCTAACACAAAGAAAGGATGTGATTGAGGTTATGAAGACATCATTTACCCTGATGTGATTACTATGCATTGTGTTTATATCAAACTGTTTCCTGTACGCAATAAATACATATATATACTATGTACCCCCAAAAATTAAAAATTAAAAAAAAATAGAAATGACCTTGCATGCTTGTTCATTTATAAATAGATGAATGAGTTATCAGTGAAAATACATCATCAGGTCTTTTGCACACTGATTATCATAAAACCATAAATATGAAACAATCCAGCATTGAATTTCGTGCTAAGAGAACATCTACCCTCTCACCTCTCATTGTCTGTTGAATGTCTGTTTCTTTTTTTTTTTTAATTTTAACTTTTATTTTTTATTCAGGGGGTACATGTGCAGGTTTGTTACATGGGTATACTGCATGATTCTGAGGTTTGGGGTATGAATGATCCCATCACCCAGGTAGTGGGCAAAGTATCCAATAGGGAGCTTTTCAACCCTTGCATCCCTCCCTCTTTCCCTGCTTTAGTAGTCCCCGGTGTCTACCGTTCCAATCTTTATGTCCATGAGTACTCAATGTTTAGCTCCCACTTATAAGTGAGAACATGTGGTATTTGGTTTTCTGTTCCTGCTAATTCACTTAAGATAACAGCCTCTAGCTGCATCCATGCTGTTGCAATGGACATGATTTTGTTGCTTTTACGGCTGCACAGTATTCCATGGTTTATATGTACCACATTTTCTGTATGAGCACCTAGGTTGAGACCACGTCTTTCCTATTGTGAATAGCACTGCAATTAACCTATGCGTGCATGTGTCTTTTTGGTAGAATGGCTTATTTTCCTTTGTTATATAACCAGTAATGGGATTACTGGGGTGAATGGTCATTGTTTTAAGTTCTTTGAGAAATCTCCAAACTGCTTTCCACAATGGCTGAACTAATTTACATTCCCACCAACAGTATATAAGCATTACCTTCTCTTGACAGCCTCGCCACATCTGTTAGTTAAAAAAATTTATAATAATAGCTATTCTGAGTGGTGTGATATGGTATCTCATTGTGGTTTTGATTTGTATTTTTCTGATGACTTAGTGATGTTGAGCATTTTTTCCTATGCTTGTTGGCAGCTTCTATGTGTCTGTTCATATCTTTTGTTTTTTAATGGGGTTATTTATTTTTTGCTTGTTGAATTGTTTTAGTTCCTTATAGATTCTGGATATTGGACCTTTGTTGGATGCATAGCTTGGGGAATATTTTCTTCCATTCTATAAGTTGTTTGTTTACTATGTTGACAGCAGGTTGGTTTTTCTTTTTCTTTTTTTCTGTGCAAAAGCTCTTTAGTTTAATTAGGTCCCACTTGTCATTTTTTTAAAGATTGTTGTTGCTATTGCTTTTGAGGACTTAGTCATAAATTCTTTCCCAAAGCTGATGTCCAGAATCCAGAATGTTATTTCCTAGGTTTTCTTAGAGGACTTTTATAGTTTTAGGTCTTACATTTAAATCTTTAATCCGTGCAGTGGCTCATGCCTGTAATCTCAGGGCTTTGGGAGGCCAAAATGGGAGGATCACTTGAACTCCAAGTTCAAGACCAGCCTGGGCAACAAAGGAAAACCCCATCTCTACAAAAAAGTACAAAAATTCGCCAGGTGTGGTGGCATGCACCTGTAGTCCCAGCTTCTCAAAAGGCTAAGGTGGGGGGTTGGCTTGAACCTGGGAGACAGAGGTTGCAGTGAGCTGAGATTGTGCCACTGCACTCCAGCATGGATGAAAGAGCAAGACCTGTCTCAAAAAGAGAGTGAAATCTTTAATCCATCTTGAGTTAATTTTTGCAGATGGCGAAAGTTAGGGGTCCAATTTCATTCTTTCTCATCTGGCTAACCAGCTATTCCAGCACCATTTATTGAACAGGGAGTCCTTTCCCTGTTGTTTATTTTTGTCGACTACATCAAAGTTTTGTAGTGATGGCTGTAGGTGTGCAGCTTTACTTCTGGGTTCTCCATTCTGTTTCATTGGTCTATGTGTCTGTTTTTTGTACTTGTACCATGCTGTTTTGGTTACTTTAGCCTTATAGTATAGTTTGAAGTTGGGTAATGTGATGCCACCAGCTTTGTTCTTTTTAACCTTGTTTTTCATTAGTTGTGTGAAATGCAGCCCTAGTTATCTTGTGTTCATGTTTCCTATTATTGTCCAAAGAATCCTTGTGATAGTCATACCATTTCCTACATCTCTGTTCAATATGGTTCTGGGAGGCAATGAGAATTGGCCTGAGCCTCTACCCACTATCAATTCCCTTGACTGGTCAATGTCGCTCATGTTCTTCATTGGAAAACATCACAGCATTCTATTTCTAATACTGCTTTCTGGGCTACTGCTTTCACTATCATCATGGTGTTGGCATATTTCTTTATATTTCCAGTCATAGTGTGCTTCTGCTCTCTGTCATATTGCCACCACAGTGGAAGACTGAAAAATGATAAGGTGCTCTTTTCTGTGATACCCTTTTGGCCTCCAAATAGAATTCTTCCCACTAATAATAATTCCACACTCTACTGATTTCTCCCCCTGCCCCCCTCAAAATGAGGGCAGAAACCATATCCATCTTGTTTATTTCCATATCTCTGGCACACTATCTGCCATCTAGTAAGTGTT